>NT_187602.1:300000-478999 GCF_000001405.40 Homo sapiens
TTCCATGGTGTAGATGCACCACATTTTCTTAATCCAGGTGGTGACTGCTTTAAGGTAGCTTATATTTTGGTTGATAGAGTTGATTCCCTGATATCCTATGTTTATTTTCTGTAACAGTAGATGTTTCTTCACTATAAGCTCAAAGTATAGAAGCCCAGGTTTGAGTAAGAAATATTTAATTATTTGGCATATTTGAATGTATGCATGCCCTTCTATGCATTCTCTTCAGAGCTGGAACAGGAATTTCCCTTAAGAATCTATACCATTTCTAGTTTTTATTTGCTGCGCACCATGAACACCTTACCAAGACTTAGTAATAAGGAAAATACAAATTAAAAAACATTCTTGTTTCAGTGACGGATTCTCGTTCTTTGATATTATAGATAAAGCAATTTAATTTTTGTGAGTACAGTGAGTAGATGCTGTTTTTCATTATAGAAAAACCTATAGTTGGCAAGGAAAAAACAGTTGATAAATTTAAAACACATTTAAGATACATAAAGTTGCATTAGGATAAAGCCAAAATACAAATTAGAAACATGGGTCTTAGCTTTGTACATACCAACTGAATTACATATAGTTTTAGGACTTAAAAAATCTCCAAAATGGAAAAATGATACATAGATGAATAAAAATTGTACAGATCTTACCTACGATGAAACTTAGGACTTTGTATACTTTTTGCTTTGAGATAGGATCAGGGCTCTTTGTGTGTAATGAGTCACGCTTTTATGAGTAAGAAGCCAAGTGCTCAGACATCACCAGAAAATAGTTTTTTTTTAAAATGAGAGAAATTTTGCATTTCTTATGGAATAATTGTAGAAGAATGTATATCATTTCAGTGTGTTCCAATATATTTCTTTTGATGGCACTCCCAGCACTTTTTTAAGGGCATCTGTCATATCTTTGTTCCAGAGACTGTAGGTCAGGGGATTAAAGAATGGGGTTGCTGTGCAGTAAAACAATGTCACAAATTTCTGTGTCCCAGGGCGGCTCCTGGAGCCTGGACTCACATACATCACCATGACTGAGCCATAGAAGAAAGAAACAACCAAGAAATGGGAAGCACATGTAGAGAAAGCTTTGTTCCTGCCTGAGCCAGCTGGGACCCACAGAACAGCTCGCAAAACTAAGATATGGGACCCAAGAATGTAGAGGAAGGTGATGAAGATGATGAGAGAGCTTACTGTAGCACAAGTCAGAGTAGTTTTGGGAACTGGGGCACAGGACAGTGCCAGCAATGGTCCCAGGTTACAGAAAAAATGGTCAGTGATGTTAGGGCCACAGAAAGGCACTCGGGACATAAGCACTGCAGGCATCAGTATGGATAGAAAACCACCTGCCCTGCAGAAGGCCACTAATCGGACACACAGGTGGTGAGTCATGACTGTGGGATAATGCAAAGGTCGACAGATGGTAAGGAACCGATCAAAGGACATCACAGACAGAAAGTAGCCTTCTGCAGCACACATGGAGAAGTAGAAGAACTGGAGCAGGCAGCCAGCATAGGAGATGCTCTTGATATGGGAGATGAGATTGGCCAACATTTTGGGACATCAGAACTAATGCAGCAGATCTCCAGGAAAGAGAAATTAGCCAAGAGGATGTACATAGGTGTGTGGAGTTTCTGGCTTGACCACACAGCGCAGATGATGGATGTGTTACCCATGAGGGTCAGAAGGTAGATGAGGGAGAAGACCACAAAGAGGAGGATCTTGGTCTCCCTGCAGCAGGCAGGGGAAGCCCAGGAGGATAAATTCACTCACAGGCCCAGAAATGTTATTGGCTTCTATGACACTCATTCTTCTAATCTATGAAGGAAATGAACGATAGGGACCACTACAATAACCATTTTCTCTCTCTTAAAGTGTTATATTTATTTCTTTTGACTCCAAGACAATCTTTTAATGCACTTTTGTGAAAAGTTCCATATAGTTCTCAATTCAATAACTCACCTCCCATCTTTGTCTTAGTTCAATGAAATCAGGGTTATGGGAGAATGTGGCTCAACATGTTACTACGTGATCCCACAGCCTCCACTATATCATATCTCTGTTTTTCAGAGTGTAAGTTTCATTGACATCACATAACATAGGGTCCAAACGACTTTCTCTATTTGCATTTAAATTAATTCTGCTTTGATGTAATGTTTTGTAATACACATATTCAAATATTTATACATATAATTTCTCCCTATTAGAAAATTTTGTATTGTATTTTGAAAAATTCTAAGAAAAATCAGTTTAAACATAATCTAAAATTGAATTAGGTCAGTACAAAAAGAGAACCTCATTATGTTGTCAATAAATTATGTTTTTAGGAGATCTGTCCTGGATAGTTCTGTTGACTGAAGTAGGGTACTGAGGATGCTGCCACAGATTTCATGCTAGCACGTGTTTGTTTGCTCCGTATAGTGGCATTTAACTTCTATTTGCTGAGCAACAGCTAATTTGACACAGAAAAGTTGCCTTCAACCCTTTACTAGGAAGATCTTGCTCTATGATAGAAAAACAGCAAGAGGCAGATGGAAAAACATCTATTTCCTTAGCTCAGATGCCTTCTCATCTTGTTACTATACTGGTGATGAATTATCTTATATTAAAAAATAAACCATAAATTTAACTTTAAAAATGTGAGAGGAATACACCAGTGTAGAATGTTAGTGTCAGAAAGGACCTCTAGTCTTATTAAGCTCAATTTCCTCGTATCACAGAAACTGAGACCAGAGAGGTTAGAATGATCCAAAGTTATGTTGGCTGTTAGAAGAAAGAGGCCTAAAACTTAGGTGTTCATATATTCAGTTCAGACTTTTTCTCATAAGCCTCTGCTATTGTGGGACCCTGCTTTTTTTGTCAGCTCAGATGGTTGCAAAAGTATATTGTGTATGTATTATACTGTTCCTTCCTTTGAATTAGATCCCTATTTATAATAAAGGAGGACATTAACCAGGTTACTAACCAAAGCTGACAATTGCTACATCATATCCCCTATTCAACTTTGACCTGCCCTTTGCCCTAATTCTTGGCATCATTTATGGCATAAATCTACTTTTGGACACTTTCTTTAAAGAACATTTGACTTCTAAGATAGTAAGCATAACAACAACCACTGTCATGTATTAAATGTTTATTGTGACAGTTACATAATGTTCATTATCTCATTAAATCCTCCTCCCCTCTCCTTTCCAGTTTTAGAGTAGAAAAACACTCTCACATGTTTAAATGTACCATTTGAATTCTATTGTGCTTCTAAATACATTGAATCTAAAATTCAAGTTTTTATTCTGTCCAGCTTTCAGCTATGTATATAATGTGCTAGCTGTTTTCTCTCATTGCATCTGATTCCATTTGTTCACATGTAACTTGCTTCTATCTAATTTTTGCTTGTGAATTTGAAAGATTTGCCTCTGGACATCTGTGTTAGGAACTGAGGTTATATATCATAGGAAAATATTATTTACATATTTCTTATAGATTATGTAGTTTACATTAGATACATCACCTGAGGCCAGGTTTGTGTCCTTCCCTTCCATGCAGCGAGTCCTCCAGGCCCCAGGTAGGTCTAGAGGTGTTGTCTGGTACCCAGGGACTGGAGTCAAAAACCTTAGACGTCTACCTGGTATTCTATTATACTGCAACTGAGCTGGCCCTCAAGCCACAAGACACAGCCCTTCCCACTCTTCCCTCTTCTTTCCACAGGCAGAGGAGAATGACCCTGTGGCCACCACCATCACAGGCCTATGGTGAGTAACTGCCACACTCCCACCTGTGTGTACTTAAGGCCCACAGGCTCTTCAGTCAGCTTGTGGTGAATGCTGCTATGCCTGGGAATCACCTTTCATGGACATGGGCTCCCCTCTGGCCCAGAGAAGCTCCAGAAATGCCATAAAAGAGCCATGGGCTAGAATAGGGAACCTCAAGAGCCCCCTTGATGCACTATGCCCATTTGACTGTGCTGGTACTTAAGGTACAAGACAAAGTCCCCTTGACCTTTCTCTTTGCTTCTCTCAAGCAGAAGGAGTCTGTCACTGTAGTCACCACAGCTGGGAATGTGCTAGGTCTCACCTGAAGCTAGTATGTCTCGAGTCTCACCCAAGGCATATTGCATACTATTTGGGTGTTGCTTCTCATTATTCAGGACCCAAGGGCTCTTTAGTCAATAGGTGATGGGTCTTGCCAGGACTGGTTCTTTCCTTCAAGGCAGCAGGTTCCCTTCTAGCCCAGGGTGTGTCTAGAAATGTCATCTCGGAGCTAGGGCCTGGAATGGTGCCTCATGACGGACCAATATTCTTTCTTACTGTAATGAGCTGGGATCTAAGATGCAAGACAAACATCATCTTTACTCTTCGCTTTCTTTTATTCAAGCAGAAGTAAAGGATCTCTTTTGGAGCCACGAGCTGTGCTGCTGGGGTTAGGGGAGGTGTGGGCAAGGACTCTCTTAGCTGCCCCAGCTGTTGTTTCAGTAAGTCATGTGTTCCCAAGTCCATTGGCTCCAAGCCCAGCTCAGCACCAGGACTTGCTGTCCTTGTGGCCTAGACTGCCTGTCAAATTTATTTAGGACCCTAGAGTACTCCAGCTCATGGCAGCAAGGCTTGCCAGAACTCAAGCTCCATCTGCTGGAGTGGGCAAATTGCCCTCTGGCTGGACCTTGTCTAAAGGCTCCCTCTGTGGGTCTGTGTCAGCTGAGTTCAGCACAGTTTTGCTTTCCACTGTGATAGGGCAGCACTGAGTTCAATGCAAAGTCTCACGATTGCTGCACTTTCCCTCTCCCAAACACACATTTCTCTGTGCCATGTGGCTGCTGTAGTGGGGATGAGGGAGAGTTGGCATCAACAATTCACGGCTCTCTTTCTGACTCTCTTTAGTGCCTCTTTCAATGATACGGAGATAAAACCAGGTATTGTGAGTGCTCATATTATTTTTGGTTCTTATGAAGGTGCTGTGTTTGTGTAGACAGTTGGTACATTTGGTGTTCCTGTGGGAGGACAATTGATGGAGCCTTCTATTCCACCATTTTGCTCCAGCCACTTCCAAATGCTTTTTCTTTTTCTTATTTATTTATTTTTGAGATGGAGTCTCACTCTGTCACGAGGCTGGAGTGCAGTGGTGCAATCTCCGCTCACTGCATCCTCCACCTCCCAGGTTCAAGCAATTCTCTTGCCTTAGCCTCCTGAGTAGCTGGGGTTACAGGTGCACACCACCACACCCAGCCAATTTTTGTATTTTTATTAGACATGGCGTTTCACCATGTTGGCCAGGATGGTCTCGATCTCTTGACATCGTGATCTGCCCACTTTGGCCTCCCAAAGTGCTGAGATTACAGGCGTGAACCACTGCACCCGGCCCCAAATGCTTTTTCTGAATCTATGGAGATTATATGTTTTTAGTATTTTTGTTAATGTGGTGTACTACATTTATTGATTTGCATATGTTGAATCATCCCTGCATCTCAAGGATAAATCTCTCTTGATCATGAGGTGTGATACTTTTAATGTGCTGTTGAATTCTGTTTGTGAGTATTTAAGTTTGTTGAGAATTTTTGCATCTTTATTCATCAAGAATATTGACCTGTAATTTTCTTATCTTATAAAGTCTTTGGCTTTGATATCACAGAAATACTAGCCTCATTTAATGAGTTTGGAAATGTGGTTTTTCTTCAATAATTTGGAAGAGTATATAAAGAACTGGTAATTTTTAAAAAATGTTTGGTGGCATTTATTAACAAAGCCATCTCTTCCTGAGCTTCTTTGCTGAGAGGTTTTTAATCAGTTTTTTATTGGTGATGCAATCTTCTTATTCACTATTGGTCTGTTTAAATTTTCGGTTTCTTCATGATTCAGTCATAGTAGGGTGAACATTTCCAGAAATTTATCATTTCTTCTTGGCCTTCCAATTTATTGTCAAATAATTGTTTATAGTAATCCCTTATGATCATTTGTATTTTTATGGCATGAGTTGTATTGTTTCTTCTTTCATTTCTGATTTTATTTGGGTCTTCTCTATTTTTTCTTGGTTAGTCTAGCTAAGATTTGCCAACATTATTTTATATTTCATCGATTATTTCTATTGTTTTCCTATTCTGTATTTGATTTATTTAATTTCTGTTCTAATCTCTGTTATTTAATTCCTTTGGTAAATTTGGGCTTAATTTGTTCCTTTTTACTTCCTTGAAGTTTAAAGTAAGGTGGGTTTGTTTTTGGACATTTTTCTTATGTTTAGAGTAGATGTTTATTGCTATACTGCCTCAATACCACTTTAGCTGCATCCATAAGTTTTGTTATTTTGCGTTTTTGGTCTTTTTTTATAGGTAGATACATTCTAATTTCCCTCGATATCTTTTTGACATAATGGTTTTTCAAGAGTGTATTGATTTCCACATATTTGTGAATTTTCTAGTTTTGCTTGTTATTGATTTTAGTTTTATATCATTATAGATAGAAAAGATACTTTTCCTACTTACATAATTTCTATATTCTTAAATTTACTTGTGCTTGTTATGTGGCCTAACAGATGACCTATCCTGAAAAATGTTATATAGTCACTTGAGAAGAATGTGTATTCTGCTGTCACTGGATAGTTCTGTACATGTCTATGAGGTCCTTTTGTTTTATAGGATGTTTAAGATTGCTATTTCCCTACTGGTTTTCTGCTAGAGATTCATTCCCATTATTGAAAGTGGCGTAATGTTGTGTCTCATTGTTATTTTATTGCTGTCTATTTCTCCCTTCAAATCTGTCAATGTTTGCCTTATATATAGTTAGGTACTCTGATCTTGGGTGCCTATACATTTATAGTTGTTCTAACATCCTGATAATTGACCTTTTTATCATTATATAATGACCTTTTTTATTTCATGTGACAGTTTTTAACCTAAAGTCTATTTGGCCTGGTATAAATTTAGCCACTCCTGCTGTCTTTTCGTTATGATTTGCATGGAATATTTTTTTCCCTCCCTTCACTTTCAGCCTTTGGGCATCCTTGAATCTATAGTCTCTTGTTGACAGCCTATAGTTTGATTTTATTTTTTAATGCATTTGGACGTTCTTTGTCTTTTGACTGGGGAATTTTTAATCCATTTACAGTCAGCTGGATGTAGGTTCCACATCCACAGAGTCAACCAACCATGCATAAAAAAAATCACACACCCCCATAAAAATAACTGATAAAAAATGGAATAATAAAAGTAATGCAAACTAGATGGTGTAACAGGTATTTATATACTGTTTACATTCTATTAGATATGATAAGTAATCTAGAGATGGTTTAAAGTATAGGGGATGGTGTGCATGGGTTATATGCAAATACTATATCACTTAATATAAAGGACTTTAGCATCCATAAATTTTGGTATCCACAGGCGATCTTGAAACCCATCTTTCATGGATACTGTGGGACAACTGTATTTACAAAGTTGTATTAATAAGTAAGGACTTGCTATGGCACTTCATTTTATTTTTTCTGTCTGTGTTATAATTCTTCTTTCTTTTTTCTCTTGCTGTTTTCTTTTGTGTTCATTGATATTTTTGTATTGATATGTATTTATTTCCTTTTTCTTTTGTATATTTTCTGTAGTATTTTATTTTTTTGGTTACCTTGGGGCTTATGTAAAACATCATATATATGGAGGCAAAGTTTATTCTAAGCTAATAACAACTCAACTTTAATCACATAAAAAATTCTGCACTTCTCCCACTTTGTTATTGATGTCACAATTACATCTTTTATGTGTGTATATCTACTATTATACTTCTGTAGTTATAGTAATTTCTACTTTGTTGTCTTTTGACTTTCATATTAGAAAAAGGTGCACCACCATTACAATGTTGCACAATTTTGTATTTGTTTAAATAATTAGCTTTTCCAGTAAGTTTTATATTTTAATATGCTTAGTTATGCTTAGTTTTGCTATTTAGTATTATTTTGTTTGAGTTAAAGAGCTCACCTGTCATTTATTTTATGACAAATCTAGTGGTGATGAAGTTGTTTCTCTCAGCTTTTGCTTGAGAAAGTCTTTATCTATTCTTCATTTTTGAAGAAAATTTTTTTCCAGAAATTGCATTCTTGGTTGAGAATTTCTCTCTTTCAGCATTGTCTTGCTTCTTCAAAATTCACTCTTTTTGACTTTTGACATATAATTATAATATGTCTTTGTGTGGACTTCCCTTGAATTTGTTTTATTTCAGTTGCATTTGGCCTCATGTATCTGTATGTCCTTTTTCTTCTACAGATTTGGCAAGCTTTTAGCCAGCACCTTACTTTCCTTCTTATTTTTCTCTTCTCCATCTGGAACTTTTGTGATCAGTATATTATTTCACTTTATGATGTACCTTAAGTCCGTAGGTTCATTGGCTCTTTTTTATTCTTTTTTCTTTTGCTCCTTTGTCTATATAATTTGAAATGACTGGTGTCTGGATTAGCTGATTCCTTCTTCTGTTTGATCAAGTCTACTTGTGAACACCCCCTAGTGATTTTTTTATTTCCGTCATAGAATTCTTAGCTCCAGAATTTCTAATTGTTTCTTCTTGTAAAATTTCTATATCTTTACTTCAATATTTTTATCTTGCTCATCTATCATTGTTGTGATTTCATTTAATTGTGTCTCAGTGTTCTCTTGTGGCATGCTGAATTATCATGGAGCCCCAGAGCTCTCCTTTCCTCATGTGTGCTGCTTCTTTCATATGTGATAACTATAATGAACTTTAACAAATCTCAAATTCGAGTACATTCCCAATCACCTTCTAAAAGTAACCTCCTAACCTCCACTGATTCCTCAGATGTGGTAGTTTGAAAGTTGTTCCCATAGATTTCAACTACAGGCCAACCAGAGGGGACCCATGGCCACTAGAATGGTCCAGTGACCTTTATACTTCAGTGTGTGTAAAAATCACCTGGGATCCTATTTAACATTCAAGTTTCTGAGCCTTCCCCTAGCCAGTAGATTTTATATACAAAATGTGAGGGAACCATTACCCTTTTCAAGTGATTAAAAAAAATCAGAGGTGAAGCAATTAGATTTGGCTACATTTAATTTGATGTTTTATCTTTCAAGAGATTGGGATGGTTCTAGTGAAAATTATAGCTAATCTGAATATGGCTTCTAACTGTTACTGGGTGCTTATGTCTTTTCTTTACTCTGATCAACAATATTGGGCAGGTGTAGTGGCTCACGCCCATAATCCCAGCACTTTGAGAAGCCAAGGCGGGAGGTTCACTTGAGCCCAGGAGTTTGAGACCAGCCTGGACAACCTGGGGAGACCTCCATCTCTGCAAAATAAAACAAACAAACAGACAGACATAAAAACACCTAGCTGGGCGTGTTGGTATACACCTTTGGTCCCAGCTACTTGGGAAGCTGAGGTAGGAGGATTGCTTGAGCCACAAGGTCAATGCTCCAGTGAGCCGTGATTGTGTCACTGCACTCTAGCCTGGAAAACAGAGCAAGACCCTGTCTCAAAAAACAAACAGCATACGTCTTATTGTTTTGTTCGCTTGTTTCTGAAATAATCTCGTTAGTAAAGCACTATACTTGATAAACAGTCTGATTTAATGAATAAGGATTTAAACTTTAGATTTTGGAGAGACAAGATTAACTAACCGTTGATCACAAGGAGCACACTGTGCAACAAGCTACTCTGATAGGACAAAAGTCCTAGGAGGGCTATATAAGCAAAATCTCATTCAAGGACTGAACTTTAAGCCCTATTCACTTTTAGCTAATCAAGTGATGGGCAAGTTGACATCTATAGGGAAGAGAGAAGAGGATGTGTTTCTGAGCTTTCCTTCTTCAGTCAGGCAACTCTGTGATTCATTAATTTCCTCCCTTCCTTCTCCACACCCTGGCATGTTGGCCCATAGCCACAAGGTGGCAGGATAACCAGTAACATTTTATTCAAGCCAACTGAAGCCCTGCGGGGGCTTTGAAGTTCACACACACTGTCCACCTTCCACATACTGATGCTGGGAGCAATTTAGAGCAAACATCATCCAGAGTCATATTACTAGATGACTGGATTGCTTCTTTTGTCCCTCAATCCTGCTCTCCTTTCAGTGCTAACTCAAGAAAACACTAAGTTTACACTTTGCAGGAGCCCCTGGAATAGTTAAAGCTTTAAACCATTTCACATCCAACTCAATGATCTGTTACAAAAAATACCTGTTGATTTTCTGTTATTTTAATGGATACCTAGCTTCCTTTTATAAATTGGCATTACAATAGTCTGGTATTAGTATTGATCTGGAATCTATGTGCTTCCAGATCAGTCCCATTCCTTTTACTTTTAGAATAAGACAAAATGTAGCTCAGACACCATTCTTCCATGAAACCACATCTCTCTAAGAAGATGCTGGAAAGTCAGTCTTTCTCAAAAAGTAGTTTTCCCCTCAAGTTTCAACACATTACTCCACTGTAAGTTTAGACAGTATAAATATGTATAAAATATATATATATAATATATATATATTTTAGTATAATATTATGCTTCAGCTTTTCCTGCATGTTTTTCTTTCTTTTCTCTTACACCCTTCTCTGTGATCTCATCTGACAATCACTACCATGGCAACCAAGCCTCTGTGATGTTCCAGCAAGCTCATTGTCTTCTCTTCACTAAACTTTAGTTAGTAGTTGGTCCCAGTCAGTAACACTCTGGGAGGGCTCAGGCCACATCACGAAATGTGACAGGATAGCCTTGAACTCATCAATTGCTGGGTAAGAAAGAATTTTAATGCAATGGCAAACAACCAATCAAACAAGCAAACAAAAACAATAAACCCTTCCTTGAGGACCAAGAAGACATTGATTAGCTAACCTAAGAGCTCCAGGTGGAGATCTAGGTCCTGATTCGGTTTCTGAATTTGACCACTAGGCAGAAAACTAGCACCCAAAACCAGTTGGAATAAAATTACCCACCTACAGTGGAGCCAAGGCCCCCAGATCCTTTTTGTCAGGTAAGAATAGGTTGAAATAACCTGGCTGGTTGTGGGACAGGCCCCCTCTGTGAGTGGTGCAGTTAAGGACACCCAGACTGCCCTTTCACTCTGCTTTCCCTGGGGTAATGTGTATGGCTCCTAGTCTTTCACGTTCTCTTCTGTAATTCGGGAGGAGGAAGAGAAGATACTCACTGCACATATTGTGTCAGTTAATACTAATCTGAGAGCAATAATTTACGATCTTTTGAGGTGAGGTTTGATTTTTACCACTGTGCTGTTCCTGTCTCCTAATATGTTGTATCAGATTGTAACTAAGTTGAGGTGAGAATTAATTGAGGACTATATATTTGAGCCTCCTTAGAATCTCACCCACCTTTGAGATAACTTCATGTTTTAGGTTTTCTCAAGTCAGAGTGTTGAGTCCTTAAATCAGTATATGCTGGGCAGTGAAAAAACACTGGTACACTTTGATTGCCTAAGCTTAGTGAACAGCAGGGGCGGTGGGAGGCAGGCCTTTTTAACACCTGTCTTTGCTGAGTTTCATGCTGAAAAAGCCTTGAGGCTCAGACTCAGCCCACAGGTCTCTGCACTCCCTCCATCTCCCTTCTGCCCTTTCCATGCATAGCCTTCACAGCAGTTTTTTGTGAATTATTTATTTTTTTGAGCTCTCTCTTAAGGTTAATTTTTCTTAAGAAATATTTACTCTCAATATTATAAAGGTGTAGAAGTTTATTGTAGAGAAATGTGGGAAAACATATTGGCAAAAAGAATATAAGGATAAAACCATTTAAGGTTTCCCCTTCCATCTATACTTATATTTATAGTTGGGCTCTAATGGCATTTAAATGCAAAATGTAATATACATGTTTATTTATATTTTTAAAATATTAATAATTGATTAGTTAATTCAACAATAATAATTGTTAACATTCCAGACACTACTATAAATACTCATGAATACAGCAGTGAACAAAATGGATAAAAATTATTGACTTGTGGAAGTTATATTGTAATGGGGGAAGACAGGGTAAATAAACTATGTGGCATGCTTGGGGGGCGATGAGTAAAGATGGAGAAAAATTAGAAGGTTCAGGTCAATAGGAAGTGTGTGTTGGAGGTGACAGGTGGCAGGTGTACATTTTTCCCTCAGCTTAATTAAGGTTTAATTTGAAAACATTGTATATATTTATGGTATACAAGGTGATATTTTGATATATGTGTACATTGCAAAATGATTAAATCAAACTGATTAACATATCCGTCACCTCACATGCTTGCCATTTTATTGTTGTGAGAACATTTAAGATCAACTCTCTTAGCAATTTTCAAGTATTCTTTTGGCCCTTAGTATCTGTGGTTCTGCATCTGCAGATTCAATCAATCACAGATGGAAAATATTTAGAAAAAAATAAAAATAACAATATGACAAAAAATAATTCAAATATATAGTATAACAACTATTTACGTAGCATTTACATTGTCTTAGCTACTATAAGAAATGTAGACATTATTTAAACTACATGGAAGGATGTGTGTAAGTTATATGCAAATACTGCACCATTTTACATGAGGCGGTTGAGCATCTGCTGATTTTGTTGTCTCCAGCGTGAGCTGGAACTAGTCTCCCCTAGATATAAAGAGACAACTGAACAATATGTTATTATTAATTACAGTCACCATGCTATACAGTACATCTCCAGATCTTATTGATCTTGTTTAGCTGAGACTTTGAACTCTTTAACCAATATCTCCCCATCCCCACTGGGTGTAATTTTCAATAGCTAGTCAGGGAAGGCCTCACTGAGAAGGTGATATTTGAGAAAAGACTTGAAGGAAGTGTTGGGGCAAGAAATATAAATATCTAGCAAAAGAGCATTACAGGCAGAGGAGATGGTATGTATAGGCGCCACAAGGCAGGGGGATGGCTGGCATGCTTAACACACAGCAAGAAAGCCTCATCTCTTCTTCATGCCTGCCTCACATTGAATATATTTAAATATGGTTCCCTCCCCATCATAACCCTGCAATGGCCATTGCAGAAATCACCAATAACATTCATGTGTCTAAGTCTTATGGACATTTTTTTTTCAAGATGTATCTCTTCTCAGCAGAATTCAGCACTGCTGTTCCAACACATTTTTTCCTTTGGCTTCAGTGTCAACTCTACTCTACTTTGCCTCCTGATTGCCCAGAAAACTCCCACATTTCTGGCTACAACTCCTCTATTTGATTTGTGGGCTTCTTTTCCTTTATTTGGCCATTAAATTCTGAAGCTCTGTGAGGCTGAGTTCCAGGCCTTCACATCTTTCAATGCTATACTATTGTCTAGGTCATTTTCTTCTCCAAAGCTTTGGTTATTACTTATTTGCCAATGAGTATATCAAATTGTTAATACAAATTGCATCCTCAGAGTTCCAGATGACAACTGCTACATGGTATTAATATTTGACTGCTGGATGATAGTTTTACTTGAATGTTTCAGGGGCACCTCAAACTCAACTCCAAAATTGATCTAATGAACTTTCCCAAACCACATTCCCTTCTTGCATTTCTGAGAGAATGGATTCCCATTCATCTGACTACAGTGCTACCCTGAAAGCAGATCCAGAGACTAAGATTCACCTGCAGGTGATTCATTTGGTAGGTATCAGAATCTCTGGTAGGAGAACTGGGAAGTGGGGCAAAGACCCTTATAAAGAGTGAACTATGAAGCAGTTACCAGAATGGATAACTGTGGATTAAACTTGGAATAACTCTGAGATCCAGTGTAGATAACTCATCTCAGAAACATGCTGAGAGATAAAGGGTATTCGTACAACAGTTTCTGATAGTCATTAGTTATGGACTGTCTCCTAGCCGCATTGATTCCTCAGCATGCCCAACCTGCAGCAGGGACAGCAAAAGTGGCTTCTGTGATCAGAGAAAGCCCTCAGGTAAGGAAATGCAGGGGTGAATGCTGGAAGTCAGGCTGGCATGCACTGAAGTATTAGGGTGAGACGCCATGGCAAGGTATCTGACCATCTTTCTAACCGTTCACCTCCATTTCCAATCTTTAAATACATTTTACTTCCCAAATATGTAATAATATGCATTTCCTTCAATTTCTACCACCACCTCTACTGACTGCCTCCATCTTTTTCAAATATACTTGCCTCATTCAGCACATTCACATTGTGCAACCACCACCTCTTTTGAGCTCCAAAACACTGCCATCACCCCATAGAAAACCCCAGTCCTCTTCCCCTCCATCCATGGCCGCCACCTGGAGTGTGTTTGGCCCATGGAGGACACTGCACATTGTTGGTGGGCATGATTAAATAGTTGCTGCTTTTCTGCAGTTATCACTGTATTTTGAGTGAAAGTTTCATAATTTTCAGTGTTTTATCTGGGTTGATAGGATCCAATTTTAGTTTTTGAGTTTCTTTTTTGAGCAACTATAACAATTTTAAGGATTAACATGTCATGACATTTATTCTTTACTAGAGGTCTTCCAAAGAACAAAGATAAATTTACTTATTTTAAAAACAGAATAAAATTCATCCTGTCTTGCAAAAATACACAAAAATACAAAAACAAATATACTTGCCTCATAATTAGTTTCACATTTACCCTTGTCCTTCTCTAAACTCTTCACTACCGTGGCCACAGTTACTGTTTCAAAAAGGGAGATGAAATCATGTCATATTCTATTCTCTGTGCCTGAAATCCACTTTTCACCCTCATCTCCCTTTATTTAAAGTATGTTATTCATTTTTCTAGGGTCTCAACTCAAGCATTCCTTTCTCAAGAAGCCTTTTATGGTATGAAGAGTGAGACAGAGTTCCCTGCGCCACCTCCATTGAATCATGTTAGGCCTTAATGTACCTTTCCTTTATAACACTTACTGAATGATTAATTTGGCATTTATTTACCTGGCTATTTTATTCAGTGTTTAGGATTTATACTAGATTGTAAGCTCCTCAAGAGTGTTCCAGGTCTAGTTTAGGTCACCATGTATCCCTGATTAGTACCACACATCCCAGTGCACCATGGTTCTCAACAAATAACATGTTATATAAATCAATAAATGACAGGAATAAAGATGTTTTTCAATTTGTATTACAATGTTTTCTACTATCTGGCAGAATCTTAGTAGGATTTAATAGAAATCAGGCAATGTCTACTCCTTAACCTGACTTTGAGAGAGAAACACTGATTTTTAAGAATCACTCCCAATTCTGACTTTTTCTCATCATTATGTGGGTGAGGTAGAGATATTTCTGAGGCTTTTTTGTTCAGGAACTTGTCTCCTTGGACATTTTCACTAGGTCAGCACTAGATCATTGCTACATGAAGTATGGTCTATTGACCAGCAACATCAGTGTCAGCTGGAGACTTTTAGAAATGCAGAATCTCCATTCTAACTGGTGTGAGATGATAGCTCATTGTGGTTTTGATTTGCATTTCTCTAATGACCAGTGACGATGAGCTTTTTTTCATGTTTGTTGGCTGCATAAATGTCTTCTTTGAGAAGTGTCCATTCGCATCCTTTGCCCACTTTTTGATGGGGTTGTTTGTTTTTTCCTTGTAAATCTGTTTAAGTTTTTTGTAGATTCTGGATATTAGTCCTTTGTCAGATGGATAGATTGCAAAAATTTTCTCCCATTCTGTAGGTTGCCTGTTCACTCTGATGATAGTTTCTTTTGCTGTGCAGAAGCTCTTTAGTTTAATAAGATCCCATTTGTCTATTTTGATTTCTGTTGCCATTGCTTTTGGTGTTTTAGTCATGAAGTCTTTGCCCATGCCAATGTCCTGAATGGCATCGCCTAGGTTTTCTTTTAGGGTTTGTATGGGCTTAGGTCTTACACTTAAGTTTTTAATCTATCTTGAGTTAATTTTTGTGTAAGATGTAAGGAAGGGATCCAGTTTCAGCTTTCTGCATATGTGATCACTAAAAAGTCAGAAAACAACAGATGCTGGAGAGGATGTGGAGAAATAGGAATGCTTTTACACTGTTGGTGGGAGTGTAAATTAGTTCCACCATTGTGGAAGACAGTGTGGTGATTCCTCAAGGATCTAGAACTAGAAATACCATTTGACCCAGTGATCCCATTACTGGATATACACCCAAAGGATTATACATCATTCTACTATAAAGACACATGCACAAGTATGTTTATTGCAGCACTGTTCAAAATAGCAAAGACTTGGAACTAAACCAAATGCCCATCAATGATAGACTGAATACAGAAAATGTGGCACATATACACCATGGAATACTATGCAGCCATAAAAAAGGATGAGTTCATGTCCTTTTCAGGGACATAGATGAGGCTGGAAACCATCATTCTCAGCAAACTAACACAAGAACAAAAAACCAAACACCGCATGTTGGCTCACTCATCAGTGGGAGTTGAACAATGAGAACACATGGACACATGGAGGGCAACATTGCACACTGGGGGCTTTTCAGGGGTGGGGGGCTAGGGGAGGGATAGCATTGGGAGAAATACCTAATGTAGATGATTGGTTGATGGGTGCAGCAAATCACCATGGCACGTGTATACCTATGCAACAAACCTGCACGTTCTGCACATGTATCCCAGAACCTAAAGTATATATATCTATAAAAAGAAATGCAGAATCTCATGCCCCTCTGACTCAATAAGCATTTTAAAAAGTCTATCAGTATTTTGCATCACTTTGTTCCTCCAAGCCTTGGCCCAACACCTAGCACATAAGATGAAGTTTTGGGTGATGAATGAATATGCTAAAAAATAAGAGTGAAGGAATATATGAAAGGAGGGAAAGAACACCATGGGAAATTGAAAATATATCATACTATGATATTTGAGTATTAGATCCTGACAGTTTAGTTTCAACACTTTTGGTTTTGTATGATATGAGGAAATAGTGTTCACTTTGTCAGTATTAAGCTCATAGGTGTTAAAGCAAACTAAATATGGCCTGAGAAGGACTTGTACTTCCATATTTGAATCCTTGTGGATGAACCGTAACCTAGCTTAATAGGCAGACAAAATTGAAAACCTAACTTACGAGTATGCACCTGCAACAAATAGCTAAGTCTTAGCCAATCTCAGTGGCCATACTTCAATCATTAATACACTGATGAGGCAAATGCCAATCTGTAACCAATGCAGCTGTTCCTGTAACTCACTGCTGATTTCTGTATGTCATTTCCCTTTTGTTTGTCTATAAATTTACCACCACATGGCTGTGCTGGAGCCTCTGTGAATCTGCTGTGATTCTGGGGGCTGCCTGATTTGTGAATCATTCATTGCTCAATTCAACTCCTTTAAATTTAATTCAGCTGAAGTTTTTTCTTTTATCATATGTCTGGAAAAATCCTATAAGAGTAATGTAAACAGCATTTGGTTTCCAGGGTGGGATGCAGTTCCAGGAGAAAGGATACCATTCATTTCTTCTGAACGCCTTCAAGAGACATGTGAATGATAAATGTGCCTGATAACATCTCAGGCACGTTTGTGTTATGAGAGGAAACTAAGGAAAATCTGAAAGTTTCTTGGGTGTATAAATAGAGATGGCTGGAAGAAGATGGGGGAAAGTGAAAGCCATAACTGTTGAGAAAATTAAGCTTGTTGAAATATGCAAATTGGGTCTCGGCTCCATACACGGTGCTGATAGTTAGGACACTGAGACTGTCTCAAGAAGACAACCTTAAAGGCCTGAGAATCCAGTCTGTTTCCCTCTTCTAGGGCACCTCCTTCCCAGAAATGACACCATT
Source organism: Homo sapiens (assembly GCF_000001405.40). Lineage (NCBI taxonomy): Eukaryota > Metazoa > Chordata > Mammalia > Primates > Hominidae > Homo > Homo sapiens. The sequence continues at coordinate 317,671 of NT_187602.1, forward strand.
AACACTTTTTAGCACTTATGTAAAGGTCTGGATCATTTGAAGTTACATGCCACTGTAGGACATTTTCTCTCTGAGTTGTTGGTAGACATTTATACTGTAGAGAAAATTTTGCACAATTTAAGTAACTATTTAGAAAATGAAACAAAAAATGGACAAATATGAAAAATATAGAAAAATTATTAATGGCACAGTTCATTTACATCAAATTGTTACTAATACTTTGCTGCATTACTCCTATTTTTTCTACTTCGAATCATATTATGACTAATTTTGAATTCTACTTTTTATTCTATTTTTATCACTTTAATAGCCTATCTTAAGTCTTTACCCATATTTTGGGATAATCTTTAAAAATATTTACTTTAATACGGGGAAGCATTCTATCATGTACACATACTACAGTTCTTAACAATAATCTACTGGTGGATGTTTCATTTATTTACATATTCCATTCATTCTCCAGGGCTTATTTTTCAATGAGGAAGCTTGAAGAATTGAGATAGATAAGAGGAAATGTAAACGTACAAAGTAGAGTATGTCTGAGGGAGGAGTACGAAACCAAGAAGCTGAAACTCTTGTCACACTTTATTTATGTGATGATTTTAGAGCATTGGTCCTATTGGAAGGACACTGGCAGGGTCCCTAAAACAGCACATGCTGCACTGAAGAGAACCTTGTTTCTTAAATGAGCTCTAGGCAACAAGTACATTTCCTTAGAACATTTATAGAAAATATGAGATACAACGAATGTCTTCGTGTACCTATGTATTGTTTTTATCTTTAACGATTAGGTATGCCTATCACGCAATGTTTTTTACAGATTTTGCTGTCAAAGGCTCCTCAGTGGCTGCTTCAGCCAGCAGCTAGGACTTCAGGTCAAAGTCCTGTTATGCTGATGCAGCTTCATTTCCTGAAGCAAGATCACTCCCACTTCACTCTGATGGGAGAGTCTTCTTTCTTTACAACTATTAAGCTAAGATTTTTGAGTTAACATTTTAAAAATATATTTTTCCTTTTATTTTTAGTTGACATGTAATAATTATGTTTATGAGATATAGAGTACTAGTCCAATACACATAGACAATATGGGGTGATCAAATCAAGGTAATTAGCACATCGCCTCATGCATTTAGCACTTCTTTGTCTTGTGAACATTCAAAATCCTCTCTTCTAGCTTTGTAAAAATACACAATAAATTATAGTTAACTATATTCACCTTACAGTACTACAGAAACATTTAAAACATTATTTCTTGAGATCTTGGTTCTTTAGGTGACTGTTGTGGTGGTGATTAATCAGTATCATGAAAATACTTATGTTGTCTATCATGGTATTTCAGAAGACTACAGTTATAGAGCTGGGTGCATACAATTACCAACCACAATGATATGCATTTACATATTTCACCTTTTGACCTATTTCTTCATGAATATAGTTCATCTGTTTATAACTCTTATACTTGTGTGACTGTTGATAGAAGGCCTGAATGTTTATGCTTGCAAAAATGTATGTTATCGCTTATTTTATTGTGTAAGGTGATCTTTGAAGTGTTCTGCTGTGTTTTTATTTTTGTGTTTTTATATGTTACTCAAATAAATACCTTTTAAAAATGTAAATAAATATATCTTAAAGAATTTTTAAAATTATTTTTTCCAGAATTAAATTTTCAGGATTTCAGTCTTTTGGGATGGCGATTTTTGGAATTTTAGACTTTAAGGATTTTGTTCTTTTGATTTTCAACATTCGATTATGGTGTTTGGAACTGTGTCTTTCAAGATTGTGATTGATTCCAAATGCAACACAGGGTTAAAGGAAAGTGGAAAAGACATGAAAAAAATCTGAGCTGTGCCTTATCTGAAGCTGTTGTGTGAGAATTATAGAAACATGTAGAGAGTAGACATCTAAAGTTAGGTTTCTGTCTGCTGGAATACATGAGTCAACCTCATCTTCCTTGGTCTCCCATTTGAGAAAGTGTTCAGCAAAGAGGAACACAGTGGCGCTCACATCCAAAATTTCTTAGAAGGCCTTTAAAAGGGTCAGTGTTGGAAGGTAACATTATCAAGTATAGCAGTTATTTGGAGCCCACCCAATAACCATATTGTGGTTACAAGCGGATGTAAAGGGCACTGCAGTCTTTCCTGATTTAGGAAGCACCGATTACACCTGACTCTTTAGGAGAGTATGTAGCAGACACATTTTGAGCCATGGCTATCATACCCTGGACAGCTCCTCTTGGAGGAGTGGTGACTAAGAGCACGCTGTGTGTACACTCAGTCTTCACTGCTGACCTCCAGTCTCCACCTGCTTCATTTTTAAATAAATGTGCCAAGGTTTATTTTTGACCCTTCTGGATCATCCAACATTTCCAAGTGGACTCATCTAGGGATAACAGTGAGAAAGTTTTGGGAAGATCTCAAAAAGTGTTTCTTAACTGAGATCTTAATTGGTTCAGCCTTTAGGGAAAAAGGGAAAGATGATGAGGCCTGGGTCTAATCTGAATAATCAGTTGACCTTAAGCCTGAATCAGAATATCAAATATAATTGGAAGCCTTGATATATGTTTTTATACTAACATAGCTATGTTTTCCCACAAAATAGATGATACTGGATTTAGGACTGAAAATGTAAGAACAAGGGGTTCTATGAAGTCCAAGGATATAAAGACAGAAGTCAGTTATGGCAAAGAATTTACAAAATGCTTCAAAGGCTTATCTATCTCTTCCCTTCTTTCTACAATTCTGCACATGTGCCAGCCCCAAGGGTTCTGTACTTATGTTGAGATTTTTGGATCAATATCTGTTTTAGTGGTACTTAACTTTAAACTATTTGCCCACTTGTTTCATGAATTTGTCATTTTAGTTTCACTTAAGAAGTACATTGTCAAGCTATAGTGAATTTGGCGAAGAACAACTAGAGGGGACTTAGAAGTACGGAAAATGAGTAACAGTAGAAGGAATTGGGATATTTAAATTGGAGAACAAAAAGTTTTATTGAAACAAATGAAGGGTAATTATTTAATAAAGCAATTGAATTTGTCCCATTTAATCTCTAAAGTACAGAATTACTATAATTCTATAGGGTGACACATTTTAATTCATCATGGAGACTTACTTTTTAACAGAGAAATATATGCAATGATGGAACGAGCTGAAGAACAATACTTTCTATCAGTTGCTTTTGTCAGATATAGGTTGGGAAAGTGGGAGAGGGTATCTAAGCATCAGATGCAAATTTCTTTCAATCTTGAAATTCCATGATACGATCTAAGATATTTCAAGAAAAAAACCATTCAGGTTGATTTCAACAACATAAAAAACTGTAATGGAAAATATTAAGGCTAATTAGAACGTGAAGTTTTATTAACATTGATAACAATAATAATATTTTCTAAGGAACACTAGTTGACAGCAGACAAAAGGAGGGGGGATGAAATACTGGACTTGTGGTCAGCAAAGTCCCAGGGTTATGCCACAGGACTACAAGTACTCCAACTCTATTAAGGAATAAATTGCTAATTTTTTTTTTTTTTTCCCTGAAGCAATGTGTGTGGAAGTCTTTCACTTTCTGAGCCAAAACTTGAGGAGCTGACCCTGAGGTGGCAGTTTTCCTGGGGGAGCTGCTTAGATAGCTTTTCATGCAGGGATAGTCCCTCAATGCATTACCTTTCAGAGGCTATGGCATCAGGCCTCTATCCAGAAGGGGAGGAGGACTAGAGAGCGCTCGGGGGAGAGGGCGATAAGAGAGAGATTTGCTTGTCTAGGTGATGTTGCTGAGTAGCCCAGTGTGGACTCTGTGTCAGAGAGCTCCAAAGTACAGCAGCAACTTGGGGTCTTTACAGCCCCAGAATTTATCTTATCTATGGCATTTGAGTTAACAGGATTCAGCTTACTGTAAAGAAGTAAACACCCTAGGGGGCTATATAAAGAAGCCCTCTTTGGCCCATTTGTCTAACAGATGGTCTCTGAAATTGTTTGCAGTGACTTTTTACCTTTTTTTTTTTTGCTGTGTTTTTCCAGATTTAGACATTTATACTTTCTCTCAAGCTCATGTCATGCCAACAAAAAGTAGAGAATTAAACTAATTAGTCTACACTAAGGTTTCCATTTACAAAAGAGAATTTATTTTAATATTATGAAAACAACATGTGCTTATTTTAGAAAAAAATAATAACACAGGAAAGTATAGGAAGTTTAAATCATCCACAATACCATTTCTAAGACCATTTCTAGCCTCCTCTGTTTCTCTGTATTTCGTATATTAGATATCTATGTAATTATTTTCAAAATTGGAATCGTAGTGCATGCAGTTTTGTTAATACTTTTGTTTAATATATCATGTGTCTTTCCCCATAGCACTATGTGTTCTTTGAAACATGATTCTTAATGAGAACATTATAGTCCATTTTTATCAATGTACTTTATCCTTCTGTTTGGGGGCACTTATAATTTTATGCAAAATCTCTGTAAATTTGTGAAAATATTCTCAGAAATAGATAACGTGTGTATTTTTAAGATGTTTACCTCGTTTTTGCCCATTTAACTCCGTAGCAAGGTAAGCTGTCATCAGTTGGAGGTAAGCGGAAGACAGTAGAGAGTACAGAGCCCTGGACTGTGACTCAGAGGATGAGCACCAGATCCAGTTTGCTGTGCCACAGTGGTAAGTCACCTAATCTTTATGTGCTTGGATTCCTCATATGTAATACAGGATCACAACTATTGTTCTCACTCATGCAATACTACTATTGTGAGAACCTCATGAATTAGAGAAACTCTGAATTTGCAATTTAGCTTTAGAACACTGACAAGTAGCTCATTGATTCTTGCCTCATTCCTCTGGAATAAAGTAGCTTTTTATCAAACAAGTGAACACATTGCTTTCAGTGGAGGCAGAAGGAATTCATTTTGAAAAATGCACATAGCATTCTCCAACCCATTTTTGCATATTCTTTTTTAAGGGAATGCCTTGTGTGAGAGGACTAGCAGGGTATCAGAACTGTTTTTTGAAAGAACTTTGTTTGCAGGTGCTTTCAAATATGTTGTCTTCAACTATCATTTTCAGTGTAAAAAGCGGGCTTGGAGTAAGCACTGCCTGCAGACCACTTTTGTGAGCCCTCCCTTCAGTGATGTGATGGCAATCCAGGCCCCTGCTGGGAGAGATTTCTGCCTGGTTAAACCTCTCACAGCTTCTAATCCTCTCTTTCTCATCTGGCTTTCCTTAGCCTTCTCCAAAGTCACTCACAGAAGGCATCCCACTCAACCTCACCTTGGGGTAAATCAAAATAGTCCTCCTTCTGAAGCTACCGGGTAAAGCGGTGGTAGCTGTGCAGCTGCTGCTGATCAACAGGCTCCAGAAACAGCAGCAGGAGGTGAGCAGTCCCTGCGTTGGCCACCAAGTGGTAGGTGGCCAGCCCTACCTCCAAGTTGCACTGTTTACTTATTCATCTTTCATGGTAAAGCCTCCAGTTGCCTATTATGAAATCAGCAATAATCATGTGTCCCCTATCTGGGTCCCTGAAAAGATGGAAAGAGGCAGATCAGGCTGGTGCTCTGAGAATGACAGACATCAAACAAGAATGAAAAGTGTCACCCTCCTTGGACTTATTCAGTAACTCATGCCCTTGAGCAAAGGAGGATTTTCTATCAAAGGACATGGATTTCTGTGTCTTTCTCTTGAGATAACATTGCTGGGTGACCACAGAAAGCTGGCTCTGGAAGCACAGAAGCTGCCTTTCCTTGAGTAATAATGTCTCTTCAAAGGGAGCTGGAGCATGAGTAGTGTACATGCCTCAGATTTCAGTGAAAAGTTCAGAGGAGGCCTGAGAAGGTCCTGGGAATGAATCATCTAGATGACTCAACCTTGCAAAGCCATCCACCTCATTGTGGATATCATTCAATACATTTGGTGCTCCATCATCCTATTTCCATGGCTATTTCCTCACATTTTTCAAAGTCTGTTTCTTGAGCCCTGACTGTGTCAAATAGCATGCCCTGTTATTCTTGGGCTTCCCTCTCTATTCTAGCATTCAGGGAGATTTCAGAGGCTGGGGTAAATCTCAGACCAAGAAGACGCAACGGTTTTGAGGTAGAGATCCTAGGAATATAGAATTCTGAGCTATGCAGTGGTCCTTTGCTTTCAGGAAATCAAGTTTGATAGTATCACCTGAAGCATACTTACATTATCCACAAATGACAGCTCCTTACTTGAGCAGTTAAATTGTGGCAAGTCTTAACACACAGATTCCTCTTAAATGCCACCTAATCCCTGCCTGGCTTCAAGCCTCTGGCTTCCCTTGGAGAGGGGCAGAGTCTCTCTGTGTGAGAGATTCTTCATTTCTGCTTTCTGCCCTGTCAGTTTCTACTTACTTGCTCTTCCACCTTGTCCACAAGGCTTATCTAGCGGCTGTTTACCTCTGAGCAGAGAAAATGGAAGTCAGCAGAGACAAGGTTGAACTTTCTCAGGAAGGATTTTTTTTTTCCACTTTATCGTGCAGCAAGAGTAAAGCCTTTTTTTCGGTGATTCTTTCCTCCACAATGGCCATTGGCTGCCCTCTGTCACACACAGGTGTGACTCCCTTGTTATTAACTGTCAGGTGGGAATTTCTAGGGAAGAAGGAGAGTGCTTTGTTAACCTCTTAACATCTCCCCAAATTGCATCATATTCTCTCCCTTTCCCCTCCCAGCTACCTTTTCTATTTTTGATTTCCTCTTTTTCAGTCTGATTTGGGGATTTCAGTTCCCACTAACTTTGTATAATATCCTCCTATCTCTGAAAGAACAAGTTCCATCTCCATTTTCCAGGAGAGTTTTTTTCCTTGCAGTAAGAGCACCCCATCATCTCTCCATTTCTACCTCCCCATCCCAGTGCTCCCTTTATGGCAGTACAATTGAAGAGGGACCCACAGTCTTGCTGAAGGAACATGACCTTCCTACTGAAGTTGGGATTACGGAATAGAGGGAGAAGAGGAAAGATGGATGTTTATCTGAATGGTCGGATCTTGTTTTCCAGAGGACACAGGCCAGTGGGAAACTTTTGGGAAGGAAGTCAAAAAATCAAAGCCAGAACTGGGTTTTGGTAATTTAATCTCCCAAAGAGAGAAAAGTCCCCATACTCTAATTCATATTTTGTTTGACTTGACTGAAGCCCTTTTGAATATTTTTTCTGCTTCTGTTCTGTTCTTGCAATAACAATGACATAAGTTTGCCTTTGGAGACATTAAAATAGTTTTCTCATCTCTTGTTCCAAGCATTTATTTTATTTTTTTGGTGTATTTATTTATTTATTTATTTATTATTACAGTACTTTTAAGTTTTAGGGTACATGTGCACAATGTGCAGGTTAGTTACATATGTATACATGTGCCATGCTGGTGCGCTGCACCCACTAACTCATCATCTAGCATTAGGTATATCTCCCAATGCTATCCCTCCCCGCTCCCCCAACCCACAACAGTCCCCCAAGTGTGATGTTCCCCTTCCTGTGTCCATTTGTTCTCATTGTTCTCACCTATGAGTGAAAATATGTGGTGTTTGGTTTTTTGTTCTTGCAATAGTTTACTGAGAATGATGATTTCCAATTTCATCCATGTTCCTACAAAGGACATCAAGTCATCATTTTTTATGGCTGCATAGTATTCCATGGTGTATATGTGCCATATTTTCTTAATCCAGTCTATCATTGTTGGACATTTGGGTTGGTTCCAAGTCTTTGCTATTGTGAATAATGCCGCAATAAACATACGTGTGTGTGTGTCTTTATAGCAGCATGATTTATAGTCCTTTGGGTATATACCCGGTAATGGGATGGCGGGTCAAATGGTATTTCTAGTTCTAGATCCCTGAGGAATCGCCACACTGACTTCCACAATGGTTGAACTAGTTTACAGTCCCACCAACAGTGTAAAAGTGTTCCTATTTCTCCATATCCTCTCCAGCACCTGTTGTTTCCTGACTTTTTAATGATTGCCATTCTAACTGGTATGAGATGGTATCTCATTGTGGTTTTGATTTGCATTTCTCTGATGGCCAGTGATGGTGAGCATTTTTTCATGTGTTTTTTGGCTGCATAAATGTCTTCTTTTGAGAAGTGTCTATTCATGTCCTTCGCCCACTTTTTGATGGGGTTGTTAGTTTTTTTCTTGTAAATTTGTTTGAGTTCATTGTAGATTCTGGATATTAGCCCTTTGTCAGATGAGTAGGTTGTGAAAATTTTCTCCCATTTTGTATGTTGCCTGTTCACTCTGATGGTAGTTTCTTTTGCTGTGCAGAAGCTCTTTAGTTTAATTAGATCCCATTTGTCAATTTTGTCTTTTGTTGCCATTGCTTTTGGTGTTTTAGACATGAAGTCCTTGCCCATGCCTATGTCCTGAATGGTAATGCCTAGGTTTTCTTCTAGGGTTTTTATGGTTTTAGGTCTAACGTTTAAGTCTTTAATGCATCTTGAATTGATTTTTGTATAAGGTGTAAGGAAGGGATCCAGTTTCAGCTTTCTACATATGGCTAGCCAGTTTTCCCAGCACCATTCCAAGCATTTATTTTTCAAGCACCGTATGTGGGCCTTTTGTTCTGTGGAGAATAGGGGAAATAAATTTAAATTTATTTTTTTCCATAGACATTTGCAAGAGTTTTTGTAGTGTCTTTTTTTTTTTTTTGGCTTATCAACATTTTTGTTTTTTAAAAACTTTTCTATCCACCAACTCTGTCTCTTTTGCAGTTCATTTGGGTATAAAGTTTTGCTTAAGAGGTGTATCAACCTCCTAGAGTGAGGCTTTTGAGAAGAGGGGCTACTTCTAAACTTCTATCACTTATGTCCATTTTCTTAATTTTATACCCAATACATGTGTGGCAAAGTTTGTTAGCTACATATTTAACACCCAATTTTATTATCTTCCTAACTAATACAACCTCAATTTTATTCAATTTGAGAATGTGCCCAGTTTAAAAAATTAGATGTTGCAGTCTCTTCTGTTTATGGTGATTATCATTTGACATGCTTATGTTCCGATATATAAACGGAATATAGTTTTGCCGCTGTCTGACACTTCAGCAGCCATCTTCAGGTAATAAGGTGAACTTAAGGAAAGAAACACATACTACAAAAGATTTGTCAAAAAGGCAGGGAAGCCTAGGTCCCTGATGATATCTTGGCACTGCCCACCTCTGGACTGCAGTGGACTGACTATCTTTAGAAGCACGCATGAGAGAAGAAAACTAAACCTTTATGTTGCATAAATTACTGTAGCTTGAGTTTCTATTATATGCAGCTGAATCTAAGTCTACTATGTGCAGCAAATTTGAGTCCCTGGATAGATCTTGAGTTTCCAACACTTAAGTAAAATGTGGAGTAATTGAATTACTTAATAAAAAGTAATAATTATTTATTCCAACCATAGATACTTTGCTTCTTTGGCCATAGTTGAATTATTATCTTTTAAAAATGGTTCTGTTTTTATTAAGATGACTAGTAGTATATACTTTTGATAGATAAATGGCTTATGTTCTTTAAAAGAGATGAGTGCCCAGTTTGCTCATAATAAAAACTCAGAAGAGATAAACGTTTAAAATATGTTCTTATAATAAACACAGATAAATAAAAGGTAGGTATCCATGGTGTACATGTGCCACATTTTCTTAATCCAGTCTATCATTATTGGCCATTTGGGTTGGTTCCAAGTCTTTGCTATTGTGAATAGTGCTGCAGTAAACATACATGTGCATGTGTCTTTATAGCAGCATGATTTATAATCCTTTGAGTATATACCCAGTAATGCGATGGCTGGGTCAAATGGTAATTCTAGTTCTAGATCCCTGAGGAATCGCCACACTGACTTCTACAATGATTCAACTAGTTTACAGTCCCACCAACAGTGTAAAAGTGTTCCCATTTCTCCACATCCTCTCCAGCACCTGTTGTTTCCTGACTTTTTAATGATCGCCATTCTAACTGGTGTGAGATGGTATCTCATTGTGGTTTTGATTTGCATTTCTCTGATGGCCAGTGATGATGAGCATGTTTTCATGTTTCTTTTGGCTGCATAAATGTCTTCTTTTGAGAAGTGTCTGTTCATATCCTTTGCCCACTTTTTGATGGGGTTGTTAGTTTTTTTCTTGTAAATTTGTTTGAGTTCATGTGGCACATATACACCATGGAATACTATGCAGCCATAAAAAATGATGAGTTCATGTCCTTTGTAGAGACATGGATGAAGCTGGAAACCATCATTCTCAGCAAACTATCGCAAGGACAAAAAACCAAACACCGCATGTTCTCACTCATAGGTGGGAATTGAACAATGAGAACACATGGACACAGGAAGGGGAACATCACACACCGGGGCCTGTTGTGGGGTGGGGGGAGGGGGGAGGGATAGCATTAGGAGATATACCTAATGCTAAATGACAAGTTAATGGGTGCAGCACACCAACATGGCACATGTATACATATGGAACACACCTGCAGGTTGTGCACATGTACCCTAAAACAAAGTATAATAAAAAAAAAAGGTAGGTATCAAAAACATAACAATTCAAACCCTCTTTTAATTAAAGTTGGTTCTTGTATTAGTAGTAAGCAGGGAGCTTGGGGGGAGAGATGTGTACAAGTGTAGATGGGAGGTTCCCAGGTAAAGTTCTTGATTGGGAAGGTTCATTTGATTGTATGACATGTTCCTCCATTCTCTCTGTCTCTGTCTCTGTCTTTTGTTTTTGTTGTTGTTGTTGCTCTAAGCATCTAGAATGAAAACCACAAGGCCAGGGTTTGCTATCAAGGACCACTCTTTCCTTTGCAGAAAAAGCTGGTTCTGAGTGAAATAGAAGGACTAGGGTGCCAAATTAACTCCTCTCCACAAAGTGACCCCACATGGAAAAGTACTTGAGAAGCTCTGTAAAGACATGGTAAAAGCTTACCAAAGACAGTAGCATTATCCTTTCCCTTACACACAAAGTGGAGGGGAAGTGTGGGTAAGTGGTGTGTCTAAAAGCATTGCTTTAAATTATGCATCCATTTGTAAACACTAATTTTTTGTTACTCCATGTTGTTTGTAAATTGATCAAAAAATGCATATTTGTCATGGAAAAATTAGGAAATAAAGATATTAGCATAAAAAAGGAAACAACGAATCTTAATTACCCATAATCCCATGACTTCATGTTTGTGTAAGATTATATAATACTATTGTTTCATGATCTGCCATTTTCACTCAGTGACATATTTTGCACGTGAAATACGTTTTACATAAATATTTGTATAATTTGACTAGTTATTACCTTAAAACTACTGGAAAGAAATCCCTTAGTTCTTCTACTTCACTCATTTCTTCTCTACAGTATTCATTTCTGGGGTAAATCCAGCTCTTTGGCTTGCATGGCCATGTAGTTCTGAAGTTAGCTACACAGGACTTAGCCACATTTCCCAGAATAGGATGTATGGTACAGCAGAATTCTTACTGAACTTGAAGTCAGAAGAACTGGTTCCTTCACTTACTATGGGTGACCTTGGACAGTATACTTGATTTCTTTGAATCTCATCAGTGAAATGAGTATGGGAATGTCTACCTTAACTGTGTGATGACAGAATTTGTGAGGATGAACTGAACAACTATATAAAAGTGTTTGGGAAATGCTGAAGAGCCCTACAAATGAAAGACATTAATAATATTAACTGAAATAGATTCCATAAATACTATGTGTAAGATCCTACCTTGATTTACCGCATTTAATCATCAAATCCACTGTCTGACAAAAGTATTATCATTAGTTCTATTTTATAGTCTAAACAAATCTAGGCAGAAAGGTCAAATAATTTGCATAAGCTCACACAATCAGTGACTTAGATTTGATCCAATCTATTTCATTCGATAGTGTTGGTCTTTTCCCCTAATAGTAGTAAAAACTGTGGGCTCCATTGTTAGCCTGCCTGAGATCAGATGCCATCTCCAACTAGGCAAGTTACCTTTTCTGCCTGTTTCACTCTTCAAAAATTAGAGATACAATAATACCAACCCAATTTCTTTGGGTTTCATAAGTAGGAAATAAAATAATACATAGAAAAGACTTGGAACATTGCCTGACACAAAATAGGTGTCTTAAAACGTTAATTATTATTATTTTCAATGTTGCCAAGACAGCGAACCCTGTGGTGGTGAATTTGCATGTGAAAACCTGTTAAACTGATACACACTCTTTCTTTTCTCCTAATATTGTCGCACTTGCACCTTATGTCCTAAGTTTTCTAGTAATCTTGAATGTACATAATGTTTAGTTGTGAAATAAATTTTGCTTTGTGAGGGAATTAGTTGTAATTGAGGGTAGAATCAAAGTTTGTTCAGCGAATTCCATCTATTCAGTTGTAAAGGCAGCGAATAAACACCATGACTTGTATTTGAAAGTAGAAAATACCGACTTTCAATTGTCATTTCCCCCGAGGAAACCATTAACCAGCACAATTGTTTTTAAATATCAACCTGAAATAACACTGTATTTTTACTGCTATTCTTTCTCTCTCCTTCTCTCTCTTTGGGATACAGTTTGGCTTTGAAAAAATATGGTATATATGCGGTGTTTGGTCAAATAATTTAGCACTATGGAAAAGGTTGTGAACCAGTCATAGTATTTGAGGTTGTAAGAAGAAACCTTTGAAAAGGTAGTGGCTGCACAAATGTATTAACTTAGTACCACAAAGTAGGGAGTTCCGAAACTGTGGTGGAAATATTGCCTGCCTTGACTACCTGTTCTTCCTGAGTCCATTTGCTGATCAGAACTCAGGTAACTTAAAAGTCATATACCCTGGAAAGGAGTATGGAAACAGGAAAGATCCTCAGCGGCTATACAAGTGAGAGATATGGCAGAGTTCTAATAAGATTGACTAAAAGCTTGATACTGTCTTACATCAAAGGAGCAAATAATTGTTCTACCTGGAATGTCCAGGCCCCAATTCACAAATGCATTCCTACCTTTTGAACTGAATAATGATCTCTTTCCCAATAAACTGTTATAAGACAAAAAATCTGAAAGGAAAATTGTTGCACATACATCATATTCTTATATTCTGTATTTTCTGGGACAGTCTGTTTCAGATTAGATGATGAGTCCTAATTCAGGTTTGCAAAATATTATCAAGGCAAATCTTTATGGAGATTTTATTGAGATATTATTTTATAACAAAAAATGGGATAACTGTAATGTTCATCAAAAAAATTGGTGGTAGAAGGAAGGAAGGTGTTGGAGTGTTCAGTAACCTTACCCCAGAATGCCACAGTACAAATTCTGTGAGAAGTCATTCTTGTGTAGTAGAGGCATTCATTTTTCTCCTAATATCCCTTCTGAAAATTCCCTTTTACTAGTCAGCTCTTAGCTTCTTGGAAAGAAGGCCCTTCGTCTAGGACAATGTTCATCTCCCCACATAAAAATTCACAATTCATGGCATGTTAGTTCAATAAAATATTATGCTTTCTAAGGATGATAATTATGAAAACTTGCTATAAATGGGAGCAAGTTCAACATTAAATCACATGAAACAGACATATTAACAAAAATAGATACATTAGAGCAATTGAACTATAAATGCTTTTTTCCTTTAAAAATTTTCCTTCATGTTATTTTCACATTCTTTTAGCAACAAATGACAATGAACTGCCATTGATTTTATTTTTTGAACTTAAGCAGTGTATCTACAAGTACACCATTGCCCTGTCCAATTTTTAGGGGGAGATATTCTATTATCTAAAACTCAATAAATTGACCCATCACGTTTTTGGTGATACCTTATTTAGGTAAAAATATTAGGCATTTAGAAGAATGCATTTGTGAATATTTTGACTGATATTACTATAGATGGAATTAGAATCTGCCCTTTAGGGGCTCAGAAGGAAGTAATGTTTGGATGTCATTAGGCTAGAATATTTTATTGTCCCACAAAAATGTTGATAAATTGCTTATAAGGGCTTATTTATTAGAAATGACCATGTCACCAAATAATAAAGCCAAATATGATAGGAATCACAATCAGAAAATATGTTTTTTCTTCTTTTATTTACAACCAACCAAACAAAATAACATAGATGTAATTTTGTCAATGTCAGAACAATAAATTTAAGTCAAATAGAACTTAAAGAATTTTTATTACAGATGAATCAGATGGAAACTATCCAGAAAACACCCAAATATGTACATTCCTCAGTTAATACTCAGTCTAGGTGCCAAAGGGAAGCCACACGCTTCCATTTATCTATATAATTTGGCAACTTTAATTTGTAAGGGGCCCAACAGGTGTTTAATTTCATAGGCTGATATAGTCAATATCACTAGATCCATATTTTTTAGATTTAAATAACTATATAATTCTGATTTCTCTTTGTTAGACTGTACTGATCTGATCATGGAGGAATAATCTAATATGGCTTAGATTATGTTGGAACTCCCCAGAACTTTCCTCAGGGCTGCCTTTATCTCCTTATTCTGGAGGCTATAGATAAGGGGATTGAAGAGTGGGGTCACCATAGCATAGAACAAAGTTTTGATTTTCTGCATCCCCATAGAGTGTCCAAGTCCTGGACTCACACACATGACCATAAGAGAGCCATAGAACAGTGATACCACAGCCAAATGAGACCCACAGGTAGAGAAGGCTTTATGTTTCCCAGTGCTCGAAGGCATACCCAACACAGCTTTCAGGACAAGAGTATAGGATCCAATAATAAAGAGGAAGTTACCAAAAATAACTAATGAGCTTAGAGTGTAGCAAAACAGTTGGATTCTTGGGGCAGAGACACAAGCCAATGCAAATAGTGGCCCTGGGTCACACACAACATGGTCATTAATGTTTGGACCACAGAAGGGCATCTGAGAGATGAGAACAGTGGGGATCAGGAAACACAGAAATCCACAAACCCAGCACAGTATGACCAGTTTGGCACAGAGATGCCCAGTCATGATTTATTAGGATAGTGCAAGGGATGGCAGATAACAAGGTACTGATCAAAGGCCATCACAGTCAAAATCAAGCATTCAGATGTACCAAAGAGAAGAAGAAATAAAATTGGAGAAAACATCCAGCAAAGGAGATGGTTTTTTTCTCTGAAAGGAAGTTGACCAACATCTTGGGAACTGTAGAAGAGACATACCATATCTCTAAAAAGGAGAAATTTCCCAGGAACATGTACATGGGAGTGTGACGTCGCCGGTCACACCACAGGGCGCAAGCAATGGCTCCGTTTCCTGTTATGGTCAGTGCATATGTTGTAGTGAAGAGTGAGAAGAGGAAGATCTGAATTGTCCACTCAAAAGATAAATCTTGGAGTATAAATTCATTTACTAAAGCAAAGCTGGAATTTGGCTCAGAGACATTCATTGGGCCAGTGACCTGCAAGGTCAAGAGACACATTATCAGTCAGGACTCTTTTACAAAATGAGTTCCTTTTTTAAGAATGAAGAGAAGACAATGAACATGAAGTCATTTTTCAAAAGAATAATTAGGAAGAGAATATAGTTTACTTTTTCTTGGCTATACAGTATATGAGTTTTGGGCTTAGTAGGTAGCTGATTGAACAAAAACTTCTGCCAGCTTCTAAATCTCTCCTTAATATGCAATCGTGATAGAACTAGGTAAAGTTAAATTCCTTTTGTAAGGTCATTATTTTGGGACAGAAATGATTTAATATAGTTTCTGGATAGCATACAACCCAAAGTTAGTACTTTGAGAAGGCACAAATGTGTTAGTTTCTTACTGCAAACCCAACTTATAGTGCAATAGACTCAGCAAGGAAAGTTTTGACCATTTACATTTCAGCTAAACATATTACTTAACATTATTTACATATGCAAAAGAAATGCACATATTTTAAAATAAATTGGTAGCTATCACGTTAAAGCCATTATCTCTGAATTTCTATTGCTGCTGTTGTTAGCTTAAGTGATTATCTAATGTTGCTTACCAATATTGACTTTTAATATTAATATTGTAAAGCTGCATTGTTTTCTGTAGAAAGGGAAGGCTTTAAGTTTCTGATTAATCTTTTACCTTAATTTCATAAACTGATACAGTGATTATTATATTGATAAAATCAATACAGTATTGATTTAGTCATTATGTACAAAAGTTTGCAAAGATCTAGACATTAAACTTTATTTTTGAAGGTATTTCATAAAATTTGGAGATTGATTTTCCTTATATGCTTTTTATAAAATTGAAAAATTTTACTAAATGACAGAAATTAAACACTTTTTTTTGTTATAGGTAAACTTCCTCCTACATTCTTCTAAAAATGTATTTAGGGATTTGAGTTACCTGAAAAAACTTTTTTTTCCTCAGAAATATGGAGGGATGTGAGTTCTAGATGTCAAGAGGGCTTGCATTTTGAGAAGAAACACAAATTTTCAGAAGTTTTTCTTCCAATTTGATCTCTACACCAGTGCTCTAGGAATTCTTTTGGTATGACTAGTTAGAAGTTATGTTTGTGCCTCTTTTAGTAATAGATGCCTCTTTAATTGGCTTCCAACCAGAAACATTAATAAACCAACATTAGGAAATTATGGAAACGGATTGACATGGGAGTGTCATGATTCTCAGCAGTGCTCAAAAGGTGAAGCCATCATCGTTTTGACATGAACCAAATCTCTAAATGATTTATTTTATAAACCATATTCTGCCTCCAGCTAGACAGTTTTATTGTGGCCCCAAAATTAAAAATGCACTTTATAAAACTCACTTTCTCCTGGGATGTAGCTTCTATAGCATTAGGAAAGTTATCTTCCAAGCCAATGAATCTTTAAAAAGTTAATGATTAGATATTCTCTGAAGAATCAGTAAAGAGTAATGACAACTATTCTAAGACATCATTATTTACAAAGAGCTTGCCCACCAGACGGATTCCAAAAAATCTTCCAGAAGACACAGTCTGAGGAGAAATAAGATACAAAATGTTACCAAAAGTTCTGACATAATGTTTAGGAACATTTCAAGTGTTACTGTGCATATGTTGGAGGATATACAGCCCAGTGAGGAAAATACTGATGTTCCAACATTGTCACATATTGAGCAAAAACTTACAGAATTTAGAAATAACTTTTAGAAGGATGGCACTTTTTTGGCAGATTCCTTTAGATATGAGAAAAAAGTATAAGAAGTAGCAACATTTAAGTTAATTGACAGAAATACTTGAGAGGAACATGTGACTTCCCAATTAACATGAAAGAAGTATTGACTTTTATTTGTGTCCCTTCTATTTTTACTTTATGGCATTTAGGGGCCAATATAGTGTAGCTAAACACTCATGTGTGAGTGAATGCTCATACCAAGTGCTGTGAAGTAGTTGAGGACATCAGGGATGTATGCCCTAGGACTACAGACATCTGTCTAAAAGCACACTTCCACTTTGAAAGACTATGGAGGAAAATGTTTATTCAGACCTTTATTATCACTTAATCATAATACTTAGAAACTCCTAAAACATAGCTTTGATCTTGTTGTCTGCTCCAAAAGCCATCAATGATTTCAAGTTCCCAAGTTCTCCACAAATTGACTTCAAATTACTTTCCTGGTGTTATCTTTCCCTACTCTCTTTTACAGATAAATTAGACAGTAGACAGCATTTCATTCTCTGAATAGGTTCAGTTTCCTATGTTCTCTTTTTTGTGATCATTTTCTGTGTTTGGAATTCTATTTATCTCCACCTACACCTGTAAAAACCCTCCTTCAAGATCCAGTTCAAAAGACATTTTTCCCCCCAGAATGTTTTCCCCTCTTCCCCTAAGCAAAGCACCTTTTCCATCCTTGCATTTTTTTTTTTTTTTTGAGACATAGTCTCGTTCTGTCCCCAGGCTGGAATGCAGTGGTGTGATCTCAGCTCACTGCAACCTCCGCCTCCTGGGTTCAAACAATTCTCCTGCTTCAGCCTCCTGAGTAGCTGGGACTACAGGTGCACGCCACCATGCCCAGCTAATTTTTGTATTTTTAGTGGAGACAGGGTTTCACAATGTTGGCCAGGATGGTCTCTATCTCTTGACCTTGTGATCCACTTGCCTCAGCCTCCCAAAGTGCTGGGATTACAGGTGTGAGCTACCATGCCTGGCCCCATCCTTGAATTTTTATTTTACCATCTTTGTGTCTTTGTCATGATACTAATCATAAGCTGCCCTATATCAATGTTCATCCATGATATTGGCTTGAAGTTTTTTCTTGTTGTTGTGTCTCTACCAGGTTTTGGTATCAGGATGATGCTGGCCTCATAGAATGAGTTGGACAGTTCTCAGTTTTTTGGAATCATTTCAGCAAAAATGGTACTGGCTCTTCTTTGCATATCTGGTAGAATTTGGCTGTGAATCCATCTAGTCCTGAGCTTTTTAAAATATATATATATTTTGGTTGGTAGGCTATTTATTACTGATGCAATTTTGGAGCAGGTTATTGGTGTGTCCAGGAATTTACCCATCTCTTACAGGTTTTCTAGTTTGTGTGCATAGAGGTGGTTGTAGTAGTTTCTGATGGTTATTTTTTATTTCTGTGGGGTCAGTGGTAACATGACCTTTTTCATTTCTAGTTGTGATGTTTCTTTCAAAAGATTAGAATGGTAAAAATTATATCTATTCTGATTAGGGCTTCTAGGCATTATTAAATGTTTACACCTTTAATTTACTCTGGTCAACAGTATATTTTTGGGGACTTTTTCTTAAATAATCTTGTCACTAAACCACTTACTTTATAAACAGCCTGATTAAATGAACATGCATTTGAACATTAGACTCTGGATAGACAAGATTAATTAACCTTTGACACAAGAAGCTCACAGTACAACAGGCCACTCTGATAGGACAAAAGTCCTAGGAAGTCTATGTCGGCAAAATCCCACCTAAGGGCTAAACTTTAAGCTCTATTCACTTTTAGCTAATTAAGTAAATATACTGCCATCCCATGCTGATAGTGATGAGCAGTCTCGGGGGAGTTTGACTTCTATAGGGAGGGAGGGAGGCGATGTGTTTCTGCACTTTGCTTCTTCAGTCAGGCATTCTGTGACTTCTTCATTTCCTTCCACTCCTCTTCAAGCCCTGGTATGTTGGCTCAGAAGCACAAGAGGGCAGGATAATCCTCACTGTCTCATTCACACTGACTGAAACCCTGGGCTTTGAAATACAGACTCACTCCTCCCAAGCTCTACTCTGATGCTGGGAGCAATTTAGAGCAAATGTTATCCAAAGTGACATTACCTAGATCACTAGGTTCTTTCTTTCACCCACCTCCAATCCTGCTGTTCTTTCACTTCTAAGTCAAGGAAACTCCAAGTTTACACTTTGCAGGAGCCCCTGGAATATTTGGGGTTTCATATTGCACATCAAAACTATTTCTCACTGACCCAATCATCTATTAAAAATCTTGTTGAATTTCTGCCATTTTAATGGCTATCTGCCTTCATATGAAGTTCTTGGTATTATAATAGTCAGTGTGCTTCCAAATTAATCCCAATTCGTTTACTTTTACTTTAAGATGAAATGTAGGCAGAGCACAGTGGCTCACACCTGTAATCCCAGCACTTTGGGAGGCCAAGGCGGGTGGATCATGAGGTCAGGAGTTCAAGACCAGCCTGGCCAACATAGTGAAACCCTATCTCTACTAAAAATAGAAAAAAAAAAAACAGCCAGGCATCGTGGCAGGCACCTGTAATCCCAGCTACTTGGGATTCTGAGGCAAGGAGAGTCGTTTGAACCTGGGAGGTGGAGGTTGCAATGAGCCGAAGTCGCGCCACTGCACTCCAGCCTGGGTGACAGTGCAAGACTCCGTCTCAAAAAAAAAAAAAAAAAAAAAAAAAAGAAGAAGAAATGTAGCTTAGAAACCATTCTTCCATAAAACCAAAACCATATCTCCTTAAGAGGATGTTGGAAAATCAGCCTTTCTCGTAAAGTAGTTTTCCCCACAAGTTTAAACACATTACTCCACTATAAGTTTAGAGACTATTTTAAAAAACTATTATGCTTCAGCTTTTCCTGCAGTTCTCTCTTTCTTGTCTCTTACATACTTCTCTGTGATCTGGTCCAACAATTATTGCCATGGCAACAAAGGCTCTGTGACATCTCTAGCAAGCTCATTGTCTTCTGCCTTATTAAACTTTAATGGGTAACTAGTAGACAGTAACACTCTGGGAGGGCTCAAACCACATAACCAAATGTGCCAAGATAATCCTGAGCTCACTATTGTCAGGTAAGACAAAGTATTTTAGTGCAATAGCAAACAATTAATTAAACAAACAAAAACAAGAAACCTTTCTTGGGACAGGAAGCCATTAATTAGCTAAGCTCAGAGCCACTCATTGAAACTAGGTCCTGATTGGGTTTCTGGATTTGACCACTGGGCAGAAACTAGGACCCAAAACCAATTGGAATGAAATGGTCCGCAGATATTGTTTTCATGTAAGGATAGGTTTGGAAGTATCCAGACTTAGTGGTGGGCCAGGCCTCCCCTGCGAGCAGTACAGTTCAGGACACCTGGACTGCCCTTTCCCTCTGCCTTCCCTGGGGTAATGTGAATGGCTTAGTCTTTCGTGTTCTCAACTGTAACATGGAGGAGGAAGAGAAGAGCCTCACTGCACATATTGGGTCATTAAGAATGATCTTAGAGCCATAATTTACAATATTTTGAAGTTAGGTTTGATTTTTACCACTCCACTACTCCTCTCCCAATATGTTGTGCCAAATTGTAAGTAATTTGCAATTAGAACACATTGAAGACATATATTTGAGCTCCTCAGAGAGTCTCACCCACCTTTGTGGTAACTTTTTGTACTTCAGGTTTTCTCAAGTCAGAGTGTTGAGTCCTTAAATCAGTGTTGGGTAGTGATAAAATTTTGATACATTGGGTAGTGATAAAATTTTAATTGCCTAAGTTTAGTAAATGGGGGACAGGCTTGCTTATCAACAGTCTTTGTGGCATTTTATGCTGAAAAAGCCTTGAGGCTCAGACTCAGCCCACAGTTCTCTGCACTCCCTCCACTTCCCTTCTGTGCCTTTCATGTGTATCCTTTACAGCAATTTTTTTTTGTGAGTTCTTTTCCTTTTTGAGATCTCTCTTAAGGTTAATGGTGTACAGTAGATATCCAGAACTTATTCATCCCTTTTAGCTGAAACATTGTACCCTTTGACAAATGTCTCCCCATATCCCCTGGGCACAATTTTCAATAGGTAGTTAGGGAAAGCCTCAATGAAAAGGTTGGGATTTTGGGATGCTGATAACATTCAGTTTCTGGAACTAGGTACCTTTACACAGGAGTATCAGTTGATAACAATTCATTGAGCAATATACTTAGGATTTGTGCACTGTACTTTTTGCATGTTATAGATGAATAAAAAATTCAGAAATCTCATAAAGGTGATATTTGGATAAAGACTTGAAGGAAGTGTGGAGGCAACAAATATAAACATCTGGGGAAAGAGGGTTCCAGGCAGAGGAGATGGCATGTGTAGGTGCCACGAAGCAGGAGCACGCCTGGCATGATTGAGACGGCAGGGAGTCCTCATCTCTTCTTCACCTACGCTACATCTCTGAAATGGCCATTTCAGAAAGCATGAAATTTATTTACATGAGTTTATTTTAACAAATGCTCACTTTTGATATTTTACAAGAGTAACTACAAGTTTATTATAGAAAAATTTGAGAAAACATACATATGCATGAGAATACAACATAACCATTTAACATTTAAAATTTTTCCTTTCATCACACTTATATTCATAATGTTTGTAATTAAGTGTAAAATTTACTATACATGTTTATATTATTTATATTTATATTTTAATATTAAAAACTGATTAGTTAATTCAATAATAATAATTGATTGTGAATGTTCCAGGGACTACTCTAAATGCTCATGCACATAGCAGTGAACAAAATGTACAAAAATTCCTATGTGGAACTTATATTCCAAAGGGAGACAACAGGTGTTAAATAAATAAGTAAACTATAGTATATTAGGGAGTGATGAGGAAACGTGGAGAAAAATTAGAAACGTCAGGTCAATAGGGAGTGTGTGTGGGAGCTGGCAGAGGTGCATTTTACCCCCAGCCTTACTAAGATGTAATTGACAAAAACAGTATACAGATTCACATGAGAAGAAAAAACAATTCACAGAACTAGCATTTGACTGTTTGGTGAGACATTCTGGAGTTTAAGCTGTCATTTAAACCAGTTACGATTTTCCATAGGGAGCTACTCTGTCACTTGGGTCTTTTCCCAGTTAAGCAAGGCTACTTTCCATGGAATCATTATCCAGTATATGAGGCTCACTTGGCACTTGTTCAATATGCGCTTGCCTTATAATAGGTGATTGGATATTTTTTATTAAAAAACTATGCATTTGTGGCATACAAGATGATTTTTTGATATGTATACATGGTGAAATGATTAATTCAAACTAATTAACATTTATCACTTCTACATACTTTCATTTTATTGTGTGAGAACATTTAAAATCTCTTCTAAAAATTTCAAGTATACTTTTGGCCCTATGTTTCCATGAGTTCCACATTCAGGCATTCAACCAACTGGATAGAAACTATTTGTACAAAAAACCCACAAAAAATACAGTAAAAGCAATAAAAATAAAAAAATGCAGTATAACAACTACTTATAAAACATTTATATTTTATTAGTATTATAAGTAATCTATAGATGATTTAAAGTGTATGGAAAAATATGCGTAGGTTACATGCAAATATAAAATGATATCATTTTATATAAGGGACTTGAACATCCCAGGATTTTGGTGTCCTTGGGGAGTCCTGGAACGAATCGCCCCCCTGATATTGCAGATATTTAGGGACAATGGTATAACACATGACTGTTAACTACAGTCACTATGCTGTACAGTAGATCTCCAAAACTTATTCATTCTGTTTAGCTGAAACATTGTACCTTTTGACCAATATCTCTCAATTCCCCTGAGTGGAATTTTCAATAGCTAGTCAGGAAAGGCCTCACCGAAAAGGTGATATTTGGTCAAAGATTTGAAGGGAGTGTTAGGGAAAGAAATATAAATATCTGGGAAAAGAGCATTCCAGGCAAAGGAGATGACATGTATAGGGACCACAAGGCAGGAGCATGCCTGCCATACTTGAGAGACAGTAAGGAATCTTCATCTTTTCCTCATGTCTTTCTCACCTCCAATATATTTAAATATGGCTTCCCCCCACCACACCCTTAAAATGGCCATTGCATAAATCACCAATAACATTTGTGTTAGTCCATTTTACGTTGCTATAAAGGAATACCTGAGACTGAGTAATTTATAAAGAAAAGAGGTTTATTTGGCTCATGGTCCTGCAGTCAATACAAGCATGGCATCAGCATCTGCTTAGCTTCTGAAGCCTAAGGAAACTTCTACTCATTGAAGAAAGCAAAGAGGGAGCAGTTGTGTCACATGGCAAGAAAGGGAGCTAGGTGGGGAGGGGGTTGTCCCATACTCTTTTTAACCATCAGATCTGATGGTAACTCTACTATGGGTAAAATGCAAACCCATTCCTGAGGGTTGGGTTGGATACCATCACCATCCCATGAGGGATTCACCTCCATAACACAGACACCTCCCACCAGGCACCCCCTCTGACACTGGGGATCACAATTCAGCCTGAGATTTGGAGGGTGCGTTGAATATAATGTGAGCTGTAGGCTTGTAATACATGGTCTTTATTATGTTGAAGTATATTTCTTCTAAACCAACTCTGTTGAGAATCTTTTCATGAAACAATGTTGAATTTTTCAAATGCTATTTCTGCATCTAATTAGATGATTATATAATTTTGGGCTTCATTTTGTTAATGTATATCACATTTATAGATGTATGTATGTTGATCCACCTTGTATCCTTGGGGTAAATCCACTTGAGCATGGTAAGTTATCTTTTTAACGTGCTGTTGAATTCAGTGTGCTAGTATTTGATTGAGGATTCTTTCATCTATGTTCATCAGGGATATTGGCCTATAATTTTTCTTTTCTTTTCTTTTCTTTTTCTTGTTCTTGTCTGGCTTTGGTGTCAGAGTAATGTTGGCCACGTAAAAAAAGTTTGTAAGTGAAGTATTCCTTCCTCTTAGATTTTTTTTGGAAGAGTTTAAGGATTGCTAATTATTTCAGTGTTTGGTAGAATACAACAGTAAAGCTATTCTGGGCTTCTCTTTGATGGGAGACTTTATTACAATTCAATCTTCTTACTCATTTTTGGTCTGTTCATACTTTTTCTTCATGATTCAGTCTTGGTATCTTGCATGTATCTTGGAATTTATTTATTTCTTATACTTTATTCAATTTGTTACTGTACAATTTTTCATAGTACTCTCTTATGAGCTTTTTTTTCTTATGAGCTTTTATATTTCTATGGTATCAGTTGTAATGTCTCCCTTTTCACTTTTGATTGTATTAATATTTGAGTCCTTTCTTTTTTTTCCTTGGTCTGGCTAAAGGTTTGTTGATTTGTTTATCCTTCTGAAAAAACACTCTTTATTACATTGAGTTCTTTTCTATTGTAGTTTTAGTCTCTATTTTGTTTATTTCTATTCAGATCCTTGTTATTTCCTTCCTTCTGCTGACTTTGGGTTTAGTTTGTTCTTTTTTTATTAGTTACTAGAGTTGTAATATCAGGTTGTTTATTTTATATTTTCCTTTTTAAATTTTTATGGGTACACAGTGACTGTATATGTTTATGGGGTACATGAGATATTTTTCTACAGGCATACGGTGTATAATAATTACATCGCGGTAAATGGGATATTCATCACTTCAAACATTTACCCTTTCTTTGTGTTACAAACAATGCAATTATGCTCTTTTAGTTATTTTTAAATGTACTATAAATTGTTTGGCTATAGTCACCTTGTTGTTCTATCAAATACTAGATCTTACTTATTCTATCTAACTGTATTTTTATGCCGATTATCCATTCCTCCCCTTAACCCTACTATTCTTCCTAGTCTCTGGTAACCATTACTGTATTCTCTATCTCCATAAATCCAGTTATTTTAAGTTTTAGCTCCCACAAATAAGTGAGAACATGGAAAATTTGTCTTTCTGTCCCTGGCTTATTTTATTTAACGTAATAACCTCCAGTTCTATCCATGTTGTTGCAAATAACAGGATCTCATTCTTTTTCATGGCTGTATATTACTCGATTGTGTACATTAACCACATTTTCTTTATTCATCTGTTCATGGACAAACAGGTTGCTTCCAAATCATGACTATTGTGAATAGTGTTGCAATATGCATGGGAGTGCAGGTATCTCTCAGATATCCTGATTTCCTTTCTTTTGTGTATATACCTACCAATGGCATTGCTGGGTCATATGGTAGCTCTATTTTTGTTTTTTTTGAGAAACCTCCAAACTGTTCTCCATAGTGATTGTACTAATTTACATTCCCACCAATAGTGGGTTCCCTTTTCTCCATATCCTAGCCACTATTTCTTACTGCCTGTCTTTTGGATATAAGCCATTTTAACTAGGGTTAGATGATTCGTCTTGTAGTTTTGGTTTGCATTTCCCTGATGAGCAATGATGCTGAGCACTTTTTCACATGCCTGTTTGCCATTTATGTGTCTTCTTCTGAGCAAGATCTTTTGCCCATTTTTAAATTGGATGATCAGAATTTTCCTATAGAGTTGTTTGAGTTCCTTATATATTCTGGTTATTAATCCCTTGCCAGATGGATAGTTTACAAATATTTTCTCCTATTTTATGATTGTCTTTTCAACATCAATTGAAATGATCCTATGGTTTTTGTTTTTAACTTTATGTGATGAATCACATTTATTGATTTGCATATGTTGAATCATCCTAGCATTTCTAGAATAAAACTCAATCGATCATGGTGAATTAAATTTTTAATGTGCTGTTGGATTTAGTTTGTTAGTATTTTGTTGAGGATTTTTGCAGCAGTGTTCATCAGGGATATTGGTCTGTAGTTTTCTTTTGTTGATATGTCTCTTTCTGGTTTTATATCAGAGTAATACTGGCCTAATAGAATGAATTTGGATGTATTCTGTGTTCCTATATTTTTTGGAATAGTTTGAATAGTGTTGGTATTAATTCCTCTATAATATTTGGTAAAATTCAGCAGAGAAGCCACCATGTCCTGGGATTTTCTTCGCTGGGAGACTTTTTATTAGGGCTTTGATCTCATTACTTGTTATTGGTTTGTTCAGGTTTTGGATTTCTTCATGGCTCAAACCTCATAGGTTGTATGTATCTAAGAATTTATCTATTTTATCTGGATTTTCCGGTTTATTGGCATATGGTTGCAAGTGATCCTTTTAATTTCTGCAGTATTGGTTTTATGTCTTAATTTTATTTATTTGGGTCTTTTCACTTTTTCTCTTAGGTAAAGTTTTGTTGATTTTGTTCATCTTTTCAAAAAACAAACTTTTCACTTTGTTGATCTTCTGTATTGTATGCTTTGTTTCCATTTCATTTATTACTACTCTGATCTTTATTATTTATTTTCTCCTAATAATTTGGGTTTGTTTGCTTTTGCTTTTTTAGTTTTTAAAGATACATCACTAGGTTATTTGAAATTTTTCTACTTTTTTGGTGTAGGCACTTGTAGCTATAAACTTTCACTTGCCAGGTTTTGGTATCAAAGAGATGCTGGCTTCATAGAATGAGTTAGGGGGGAGTCCATTCTCCTCATTTTTGGGAATAGTTTAAGTAGAGTTGATACTAGCTCTTCTTTGTATGCATGGTAGAATTTGGCTGTGAAACCATCTGGTCTAGGACTTTTTTGGTTGGTAGATTTTTATTGCTGCTTCTATTTTGGACCTTAATATTGGTCTTTTAGGGTTTTAATTTCTCCCAGATTCAATCTTGGGAGGTTGTTTCCAGAAATTGATCAATTTCCTCTAGATTTAGTAGTTTGTGTTCATAGAGGTGTTCCTAATAGTCTTGGAGGATATTCTGTATTTATCGGATCATCTGTAATGTCACCTTTGTCATTTCTTAATGTGATTATTTGAATCTTCTCTCTCTCTTCCTCTTGCTCTCGCTCTCTCTCTGTTACTGTAGCTGGCAGCCCATCAATCTTGTTTATCCTTTTAAGGAATCAACTTTTGGTTTCATTGATTCTTGGTATTAATTTTCTGGTGTATTTCAATCAGGTCTGCTCTGGTTTTAGTTATTTTTTTTTCTGCTAGCTTTGTTTTAGCTTTTCTAGCTATTCTGTTGGATGCTAGGTCATTAATTTGAGGTATATCTAACTTTCTGCGGTAATTGTTTGGTGCTATAAACTTTTCTCTTAACACTGCTTTTGCTGCATCCCAGAGATCTTGGCATATTGTGTCTCTGTTTTCAGTTATTTCAAAGACTTTTTTGATTTCTGCCTTAATTTCATTGTTCACCCAGAAGTCATTCAGGAGCAAGTCACTTAATTTCCATGTAGTTGTGTAGTGTTGGGTGATGTTTTTAGTCTTTATTTTTATATGATATACTATTCTAAGCTGACAACAATCACAACTGTATGCTTTATTTGCCAACAACAACCGTACACTTTATTTCTCCTCTCCCACATTTTACGATTTTGATGTCAAAATATACATCATTTTCTTATGTGTATCCATTGACTATTTTTGCTCTATGTGTTTTAATAGATTTGTCTTTTAACCATTGTACTATAGGAAAAAATTGCTTTACACATCATCATTACAGTCTTAGAATATTCTGGATATGACTTTGTATTTCTTATCCCATTGCATTTGTGTTCTCATATGTTTTATATTTTTAATTAGCAGCCTTTTAATTCAGCTCAAAGAACTTCCTTTAGTAATTCTCTTAAGACATATTTAGTGGTGATGAACTCTCATAGCTTTTGTTTGTCTGGAAAAGTTTTTGCTTTTCTCTCATTTGCCAAGGACAACTTTGCTGGGTTAAGTAGACTTGTTGGCCTTGTTTTTTCCCTTCAGCACTTTGAATACATTATCCTACTCTCTCCTGGTCTCCTGAGATTTTGTTGAGAAATCCAGTGACAGCTATTTTGATATTCCCTTCTATGTGATATGCTTCTAATTACTTGCTGTTTTCAAAATGTTTTCTTTTTCTTTAATTTTTGGTATTTGAATTATTGTACATCTTGGATAACTCCTATTTGGCTTAAACTTGTTTGGATAACTCTGCATTTGCTGTGTTTAGATGTTAGCAACTTTCTCCAGATTTGGTAGTTCTTTAGAATTTCTTCTTCAGATATGCTTTCTGGTCTCTTTTCTATTTCTTTTCTTTCTGAAAACTCCTATTAGATGAATATTAGGTCTTAATAGTTTCCCTTCATATCCAGAGTCTGTCTTTATTCTTTTTCAATCTTCTTAATTTTTTCTCTTCTGACTGAATTATTTTAAATGTTTTGTCTCTAGCTTATTGATTGTTTCCCTTCTGCTTGATTGAGCCTGTTCTTAGAGCTTTCTATTGCATTTTCATTTCAGTCATTTTATTCTTTAAGATTTCTATATTTTTATTATTCCTATTTGTCAAACATGTTATATTGTTTATTATTTTTCAATTTTTTTAATTATCTACCCTTATATTATTGTAGTTCACTAAATTTTTTTTATTATACTTTAAGTTTTAGAGTACATGTGCACAATGTGCAGGTTAGTTACATATGTATACATGTGCCATGCTGGTGCGCTGCACCCACTAACTCGTCATCTAGCATTAGGTATATCTCCCAGTGCTGTCGCTCCCCCCTCCCCCCACCCCACGACAGTACCTAGAGTGTGATGTTCCCTTCCTGTGTCCATATGTTCTCATTGTTCAGTTCCCACCTATGAGTGAGAATATGTGGTGTTTGGTGTTTTGTTCTTGCGATAGTTTACTGAGAATGATGGTTTCCAATTTCATCCATGTCCCTACAAAGGACATGAACTCATCATTTTTTATGGCTGCATAGTATTCCATGGTGTATATGTGCCACATTTTCTTAATCCAGTCTATCATTGTTGGACATTTGGGTTGGTTCCAAGTCTTTGCTATTGTGAATAGTGCCGCAATAAACGTACTTGTGCATGTGTCTTTATAGTAACATGATTTATAGTCCTTTGGGTATATACCCAGTAATGGGATGGCTGGGTCAAATGGTATTTCTAGTTCTAGATCCCTGAGGAATCGCCACACTGACTTCCACAATGGTTGAACTAGTTACAGTCCCACCAACAGTGTAAAAGTGTTCGTTTCTCCACATCCTCTCCAGCACCTGTTGTTTCCTGACTTTTTAATGATCGCCATTCTAACTGGTGTGAGATGATATCTCATTGTGGTTTTGATTTGCATTTCTCTGATGGCCAGTGATGGTGAGCATTTTTTCATGTGTTTTTTGGCTGCATAAATGTCTTCTTTTGAGAAGTGTCTGTTCATGTCCTTTGCCCAATTTCGATGGGGTTGTTTGTTTTTTTCTTGTAAATTTGTTTGAGTTCATTGTAGATTCTGGATATTAGCCCTTTGTCAGATGAGTAGGTTGTGAAAATTTTCTCCCATTTTGTGGGTAGCCTGTTGACTCTGATGGTAGTTTCTTTTGCTGAGCAGAAGCTCTTTAGTTTAATTAGATCCCATTTGTCAATTTTGGCTTTTGTTGCCATTGCTTTTGGTGTTTTAGACATGAAGTCCTTGCCCATGCCTATGTCCTGAATGGTAATGCCTAGGTTTTCTTCTAGGGTTTTTATGGTTTTAGGTCTAACATGTAAGTCTTTAATCCATCTTGAATTGATTTTTGTATAAGGTGTAAGGAAGGGATCCAGTTTCAGCTTTTTACATATGGCTAGCCAGTTTTCCCAGCACCATTTATTAAATAGGGAATCCTTTCCCCATTGCTTGTTTTTGTCAGGTTTGTCAAAGATCAGATAGTTGTAGATATGCGGCATTATTTCTGAGGGCTCCGTTCTGTTCCATTGATCTATATCTCTGTTTTGGTACCAGTACCATGCTGTTTTGGTTACTGTAGCCTTGTAGTATAGTTTGAAGTCAGGTAGTGTGATGCCTCCAGCTTTGTTCATTTGGCTTAGGATTGACTTGGCAATGCGGGCTCTTTCTTGGTTACATATGAACTTTAAAGTAGTTTTTTCCAATTCTGTGAAGAAAGTCATTGGTAGCTTGATGGGGATAGCATTGAATCTATAAATTACCTTGGGCAGTATGGCCATTTTCACAATATTGATTCTTCCTACCCATGAGCATGGAATGTTATTCCATTTGTTTGTATCCTCTTTATTTCATTGAGCAGTGATTTGTAGTTCTCCTTGAAGAGGTCCTTCATGTCCCTTGTAAGTGGATTCCTAGGTATTTTATTCTCTTTGAAGCAATTGTGAATGGGAGTTCACTCATGATTTGGCTCTCTGTCTGTTATTCGTGTATAAGAATGCTTGTGATTTTTGTACATTCATTTTGTTTCCTGAGACTTTGCTGAAGTTGCTTGTCAGCTTAAGGAGATTTTGGGCTGAGACAATGGGGTTTTCTAGATATACAATCATGTCGTCTGCAAGCAGGGACAATTTGACTTCCTCTTTTCCTAATTGAATACCCTTTATTTCCTTCTCCTGCCTAATTGCCCTGGCCAGAACTTCCAACACTATGTTGAATAGGAGTGGTGAGACAGGGCATCCCTGTCTTGTGCCAGTTTTCAAAGGGAATGCTTCCAGTTTTTGCCCATTCAGTATGATATTGGCTGTGGGCTTGTCATAGATAGCTCTTACTATTTTGAGATACGTCCCATCAATACCTAATTTATTGAGAGTTTTTAGCATGAAGGTTGTTGAATTTTGTCAAAGGCCTTTTCTGCATCTGTTGAGATAATCATGTGGTTTTTGTCTTTGGTTCTGTTTATATGCTGGATTACATTTATTGATTTGCGTATACTGAAGCAGCCTTGCATCCCAGGGATGAAGCCCACTTGATCATGGTGGATAAGCTTTTTGATGTGCTGCTGGATTCGGTTTGCCAGTATTTTATTGAGGATTTTTGCCTCAATGTTCATCAAGGATATTGGTCTAAAATTCTCTTTTTTGGTTGTGTCTCTGCCTGGCTTTGGTATCAGGATGATGCTGGCCTCATAAAATGAGTTAGGGAGGATTCCCTCTTTTTCTATTGATTGGACTAGTTTCAGTAGGAATGGTACCAGTTCCTCCTTGTACCTCTGGTAGAATTCGGCTGTGAATCCATCTGGTCCTGGACTCTTTTTGGTTGGTAAGCTATTGCTTATTGCCACAATTTCAGCTCCTGTTATTGGTCTATTCAAAGATTCAACTTCTTCCTGTTTTAGTCTTGGGAGAGTGTATGTGTCGAGGAATTTATCCATTTCTTCTAGATTTTCTAGTTTATTTGCATAGAGGTGTTTGTAGTAATCTCTGATGGTAGTTTGTATTTCTGTGGGATCGGTGGTGATATCCCCTTTATCATTTTTTATTGCGTCTATTTGATTCTTCTCTCTTTTTTTCTTTATTGGTCTTGCTAGCAGTCTATCAATTTTGTTGATCCTTTCAAAAAACCAGCTCCTGGACTTTTTAGAATTCTTTGTCAGTCATTTTGCAAATCTCCGTTCCTTTAGGGTCCATTGTTAAGAGTTTTATTAGTTTATTTTGGAGGTGTCATCATTCCTCGATTCTTCACAATCCTTTTGTTCTTGCACTGCTGTCTGTTCATTTGAGGAGGTAGCTACCTCTTTTTATAGGTATTAGTTGGCAGGGATAGACTTTCATTATTTAGTCTAGCCTTTCATTCTAGATTGGCCAACTGGTACCAACCCTGGGAAAGTAGAGCTTGCTTTCTGCTTTCAGGTTCTCCGGATGGCTCAGCTTTTGTCTTTGCTCTGAGTTCAGTTGGGACTACTGGCTGGGCTCTGATTTTTGGTATGACCACTAAATGAGCTATGCAATCAGACAAAATTGCTTGCTCGGATGGTGATTGTCTCTGACTGGGCCAGGCCACAGGATGTATTTCCTGGCTGGATGGTACCACTATTTGAGTTCTGGAGTTGTATGGGGTTGCAGGCTTACTCATAAAGTTAAGTGGGGACACTGCTCAGGATGGAGAGAACAGCTACTACACTTGGTGGGAATGCACATTTGATGTTTGCCTTCCTGACTGGGTAGCACCTTGGGGTGGGCTTTGAGATTTGAGCCAAACCACTGTTTGGATTCCTTGTTGGGGTGCATATAGCCCTTTCACTTTGCCAAAATGCACTGCGGCAAGTATCTCCATCTCTGAGTGGGCTTTGGGGATGATTTTGAGGCTGAGTTGAACCACTGTTAGAGTCCCCAGGTAAGGCATTTCTAGACCCTACACTGTGCTAATAATGGGCTGTGGTATGCATCTCCCTGCCTGGCTGGGTCCCTGTTGTGGGTTTTGAGACTAAGCCAAACCACTGTTTGGGCTTCTGAGTGGGGCAGGTCTAGCCCTTGTACTTTACCAAAATATGCTGTGGTCATCTCCCCCTCTGGACAAGGCTTTGTGGTAGGATCTGGGGCTGGCATGGAGGCTGATTGTCTAGGGATTCAAGCCAGGTAGAACTTCCTATTTCCCGGGGCAACCAGCTTGACTTTGTTGGTTTGTTAATACTGTTCGCTAATGCCCCTAATCACATACCACTGCTGGTGGTTACATAGACCTACCACCAAGATCTGCATGTTTGTCACTATGAGCTTTGCCTTCCTGCTCTGTTTCTACCTGACCACAGGTAGTCTAGCCATGCTATTACCCCTATGCTCCTTGCAAGGTGAGACCAGAGTTGGCTTCCTGGGGGAGGTATCTTGGAACACAGGGAACGTGAATGTCCACCTCTAGTTCTCTTTTCCTACTGTAGAAACTGTGGGCCTAGAAAAATTCTAAGTGGTGTTGTGCTGACTTGGGAGAAAGGGAGAGGTGATGTGGTCAGAGTGAGGCTATTCTTTTTACACTTCTCATGTGGCATTTTGTTTGGTTATTTAGTTCACACAGGTTTCTCAGGCTTAATCTTGAGTTTTGAAGTGTTCACATAGGAGTTTTTGTCTGTGTACAGTTGTTAATTGAACATTCTATGAAGGGTAGGGAAAACTGGGACCTCCTATTCTTCAATCTTCCTGATGTCATAGAGAATCTGCATTTTGAAAAGATCCATACGTGATGGTGATTGATATGGATATTAAAGTTGAGAACTACTAGGTTAAACATCTGTTTTCATGTGAAACATGAAAAATAAGCTAGATTTTGAGTTGCAATTATAGGGTAATACACATTTTTCAACTTTTTCATCTTTAATCTTGTTCATAAGAGGCTGCAACTGATCCAAAAACAACTTATTCCCAGGCTATAGCAAAGGTTTTCAAACTCAAACAATGTAGAATTACAAAATGTAGAGTTCACATCTTCTCTGGCTAAGATAATGTTGACTAATGAAAATAATGGTAGATTGGAAAATCTATTTGAGTTACTATACTTTCTTGTACCTAAGATAAAATACCCATATGATGATTATTGTTAATCCTCTACAGAAACATGATGAAAAGAAGTTTTAGTTGAGCAGAGGAGATAGAAAGCAAGATCACAGGGGGTTGGGGAGTGAATATGAAATGAAGAAGTAGAGGTTGACTATACTCTTTCATGTCACTTGGCACCCTCCAAAGTAAAAGGAATTTGATGTAATCAATTTGCCACCCATTGCTGGCTGGTTTTCTCAAAGATTGGTGCCATATTGAGGGCTTAACATTGGTTTCTCATCGAGGCTGCATCTTCAGTGGCTCAGTGATTTGTCACCAACCTTGGTAAGATAATGCCTGTATTTTTTGGCACGTGCATATTTTCCATTTATACAGCTTTCTTTATATTCCCTTTTATAAGCTCTGAGGTGAATGAAATCAGAGCTGACTGACATTTTTAGATGACTCATTCTTTTCACTTAGCTATTGAGTGCCTCCACTCTGGAGGATACTCTCTAATGGGCACAGAGTTGAGAAACAAAGATCTGCATACTTTGTGCTTATTCTCATAGGCCCATACATAGGCCTCCACCTCAAATTTCATTAAATCTGATTTTTCTGTATTTTGAGGGGGTTTGCTTAGTGAAACTTTTTTACAACAATCATTATACTACACATATCCTTATCTTGCATAGCAAGCTATTTCTCCCAACATTCAAAGTGGACAACTAAGTATATTGCTACCGAATCATTGGCTTACGAGGATTTCCTCCACCACTACATTCTATGGCTACCCTGGAGAGGCGTTAAGCTGCAGCATTAGTCAGTTTTTATCTTGTCTAAGTGTAGATTCAGACAATCCATTTGTGATCCAAGCCTGAGGCTCTTTCTTCATTTATTAGCTGGTTGTGTGAAATACCATGAAGCCATAGGTATGAACTGAGGAAGAGATATTGTCACAATGAAGGCATGTTTGTATCTTATGGAAATGCTTTTTACTGTATCTAATAGTTTTCAATTCATTCTATCAAGTGCCAGCAAGCTCAATATGAGATAGAATTTAATATTGGTAAGATAAGATTGGTTAATGATCAATTTGAAGATAATTACAAATATGGGCACTGTGCACATTTATAACAGTTGAGATTATATTTTATTAAGAATTTCTATCATTTTTTCTCATATAATTAAGAAATATAAACAAAACTGGCATGGACAGGTGAAACTCAGTGTTAAATTTATCAGCACTTTAAAGAGATCCCACCGTTGAAGTCAGTTTGAATGAAGTTCTAAATTGTTTGTATTTTCTTCCTATATAAAAGAGGCTTTCAGGCAAGTATTTAGCTATTTAATTTACATTTCACATGTGAGGTATAATAAAACAACCACTCTTTTCCCCAGAACTCATATAAATCCTGCCTTTCAAACCCAGAAAATATTCTCAACTCAGCTTCCTTGTGACACAAAAACTAATTGCAGTTGCACCTCATTTTGTGGAGCAAATAGCTATGATGGCTTACAAATTAAAACTCTGTAAACTACATTTCATATTGTGATTCCTTTTCATTAAGTTTTTGAGAGTTGTATTTGAAAAAATGGCATAGAACGAAACAAAAGTCAAAATTAAAGCAAGATATTAGTCAAATATTTTATAAAATGGATTTTAAGAGTTTTATTTTAGTACTGTCCAGCAGTACTCAAATAAGTCACACAGTATTAATACTAAATTAGTTATGGTATCAAATCCTGTGTTTAAACTGGGTTTACAACAAAGAAAGCTATATCCTGAGTAATGCTCACCTTTTTGTTTAGGTCTTTGCTGCACTATATTCCAGGTAACGAATCTGCTTTAAATTCCTAATTCTTGGTTGTGTACTCTCTGAAAAAACACTGAATATCAAACTAAGGCTATTAGTCTATTTATATAATGTAAAGACCACTTGCTACATTTTGACAAGCTGGACTACTTAAAACTTGGCTCTTTTTCAGCCAGTATCTCTTAGTGGATAATGATTGGATTATAGTGTTAATTGTGAGAGCAGTCTATGATATCTGTCACATGTGTTACCAATTGCTTTAGCTCAGTAATACAAAAAGGACGTCTGCATTCTTTTTAAAAAGTTGAGTTACATATACACGTTCTGATTAGCATAGACATAGAATTTTACATACGTATTATTCACTTCAACAGAAAATCTAATTCACTGTTGAAACATTCTTAAATAAGACCACAGTAATGCAGATTGTGGTGAGTGGTGTTTAAGATGTTAATGGCTCATTATTATAGCAGTTCTTAAATAAAACAATAAATTTGTAGACAAATATTCATGTATAATAAAGTTAATTTGATAAATGAAAATTCTCTTATTTATATTTTATTAACATCTTTTCCAGTCCTGAAGATTTTCCTCAGATAATCTTTCATCTCTTTGTTCCTGAGACTATATATTAGAGGATTACAGAGTGGTGTTATCACAGAATAGAACAAGGTAATGATTTTTTCATTTTTACTGGGTGTGCTGATCCAGGACTAACATACATCACCAGGATAGAGCCATAAAATAAGGTGACAACTGCCAAATGAGAGGCACAAGTGGAGAAAGCTTTTCGTTTGCCAGCCTCTGAAGGCATCCGTATTATAGCCAGAATCACCAGAGCATAGGAACAAAGGAATAAAGAGAAAGGTGCCAATCATGAAGACAGAATTGAATGTGGAGTAAATGAGCTGGGTGATGATGATGTCTTCAGAA
Organism: Homo sapiens; assembly: GCF_000001405.40. NCBI lineage: Eukaryota > Metazoa > Chordata > Mammalia > Primates > Hominidae > Homo > Homo sapiens. The sequence goes on from NT_187602.1 coordinate 353,805, forward strand.
CAGGACAGCATCTTCAATGGGACGGGATCACAAATAAAATGGTTGATAATATTTGGGCCACAGTAGGATAGCTGTGAAATGAGAATCACCAGAGTTAGGAAGATTACAAAGACACATGACCATGCAAAAATGATGAGGCCAGTGCATACTTGTTTAGTCATGATGCATGGATAACGTAGAGGGCGGCAGATGGCAAGATACCTGTCAAAGGCCGTGATGCAAAGGAAGAAGCCCTCATCATACCCCAAAGAGAAGAAGTAGAACTGTGCAAAACAACTCATGAATGAGATGGACTTGCTTGTGGAGAGGAAGTTGGCCAGCAGTTTAGTTGCAGTAACATAACATATTTCCAGGAGAGAGAAATTTCCCAAGAGGGTGTACATGGGAGTGTGAAGGTGCTGGTCCTACCACACAGCACAGACAATGGCTGCATTTCCCATCGGGGTGAGAGTATAGGCTACTGAGAAGAGACCGAAGTAGAGGAGCTGCATTTCTGGGCTTGAGGGAAAGCCCATGAGGATAAGGCAGCTAACAAAATTGATAGTTTCCATGCTGAACACATTCATTAGTCTGGAAGACATGGAGATGGCAGAGGTAACTGAAACATGAAAGGGAGCGTGCTGTTTCTTCTTGGAAACAACCAAAATTCTTCATCATGTATATTATAAAGTAGTAAACAATTAGACTTTTGTTTAAACAACAAAACTGTGACTTTCATGACTCAATTCCTACACGTTTATTTTAATAAATCACAACAATAGAAGGGAAAATATGAATTGTGGAGAGTTTTTTTTCTTGCTAAGAACACTAGACTTGAAACCAGGAATGCAAATTTTGTGATTCCAATAAATTACCTATATACAATGGGTCTACTCTTTCTTCTGTTTACCTGCATTATTGATACTGTATTTATCTGGGTATGTAGTTCTTTCAACAGTACTATGAATACCTGATTCATTATTATTAGTGGTATAAAAATAAAATACAAAACCAAGATATTTAAAAATACTCTTTCTCAATATAGTGCCATGCCAGGGCACAAATTAATATTTACTTTCAATTTCAGCTACTCCCGGTTACTTGTAGTGTTTTAAAGTGGTAATAAGAAAGAACTCTGTCATTAGAGAATATATGGTCTTTTATGCTGTTTCATGTATCTGTACCAATGTTTAGCATAAAAAATACATTCTTTCATTTTTAGGCAGCTGGATATGCTATATGCTGTGAGGAAGCGTGCCATACTTTGGCTCTTAAATTGCTCTGACTAAATATTTTTATATGCTTCCAGGTGAATGTAAGAACTTCATATGCCTATTATGACATTGACCTTAGGGAGAACAGCTGGTCTGCGTGACTGTGGCCAAGTTCAATGTGCTTGTTTTTTGTTAATCATGGTCAAGTCAGCTGCAGGAAAATAAGAAAGGCAGATAAAGTTTATATTACAAAAGTTTCCATGTTTTTTATTCACTGCTTTCTTCCACATGTTCCTTTTCTTCCTTTGACCTTTGGTGTTATTTTGCATCTCACTGTGGTTGTTTTCTGAGGCCTTTCCTATCTAGGCAAATCCGAAACATAAAACTTTTCCCCTGATTACCCTCCGGTTAACTTCTAGCCCAAATAACAACAAAAACAAGAAAAAGTCATATGAGCTGAAGATTTTTGTTTCTTAAATAATAACTAATTTGTATAATACCAAGTCTTATTAATGTAATGGAACTGAAAAATCAGTATTTGGGCTTAAGAAAGAAAATATTGCTGGAAAGAGAAATATGCCATATTTCTTCTGCTCACCAAGTAACAAAAATTACCAAAATATACCCTTCTCCAGCAATTCATCAGTTAATATACATCTTCACTTGAAATACTATTCTTTTTGTATATATGGCTATTCATATTTTAAAGGGATATGAACCATAATTGGAAAATATTTTCCAGATTTCAGGGAAACAAGAAGAAAAACTTATATTTTTCAGCTTCATTCTTTGCCAGCTTTTCATTCTGAGATATATTTTTAGTTTTCTCAAAGACAAGAAGAAAACATTTTCTATGATTTTTGCAAAAAAAACTGGGTGACTCACATGTTATATACTTCCCATTCGCTCTTTGAGTGAATGCTGAGAAGGTCAGGGACAGGAGACAAAATATTATTCCCCAGAGCCAAAGACATGTGAAGAACTTCCAAGAAATTGCATGATCCTGTTTGTTATCTCTCATGGGTTGCAAAAAGTAAACCCTAAAAGATTTTCCCCACCTTCAAAGCATATATTAATGGTCAAAATGCAAGCTCAAGTGAGTGTATTATATATATCTATTTACTTGCACTATAGCCTTTTGGGACTTGGAGCTCTGTCTCTCTTGGGATATTTTGATAGTGTTTGTTTAAAAGAGGATAACATTTTGAATTTTCACAATCAAAAGCCAGTTCTTACTGTCCCCTAAAGAATAGTGAAAATGTAGAAGCAGATCTTATCTTTTCTTTCTTCTTTCGTGTTCATGTATTGTCAAAACTTCCTGAGGAATAATTAAGTAGTAAAAGGGATTGTCATTTTAGCTACAGTGGTTAGCTTTACCATAATACTCTCTAGATCTATTTTGAAGAAAAATCATTCTCTGGTCATCAAATATTTGTACCTGCAGAGTTATTAGAGATATTTGAGTTGAATTTTATGTAGAGCACAAGAAATTTGATTGACATTTAGTTATTCCACAGATATTTACTGAATGCCTACTGGATACTCAAACATATACTACATATATTTTTAATTTTTTGAGGAACCTCCATATTGTTTTTCATAATGACTATACAAATTTACATTACCACCAACAGTGTATAAACGTTCCCTTTTCTCTGCATTCTTACTGACTATTACCATCTTTTGTCTGATCATGAACATTCTGACTGGGCTGAGGTGCTATCTCATTGTGGTTTTGATCTGCATTTACCTGATGATCAGTGATGCTGAGGATTTTTTCATATGCTTTTTGGTCATTTGCACGTCATATTTTAAAAAATATCTAGTCAGGTTTTTTGCCCACTTTTAAATTGAATTATTTGGTGGTAGTGTTGTTTTTTGCTATTGAGTTGCTTGAGTTCCTTATATATTTTGAATATTAACCCCTTATCAGATGTATAATTTGCAAAAATTTTCTCTTATTCTGTAGGTCATTTTTTGGTTCTGTTGTTTCTTTTGAGCAGAAGCTTTTTATTTTGATGTAACCTCATTTGTCTATTTTTGTTTTTCTTGCCTTAGCTTTTGCCTACATCAATGTTGTGTAGTTTTACAGCTTTAGGTCTCATGTTTTAGTGTTTAAACTATTTTTTGTTGATTTTTTGTATATGGTATGAAGTAAGGGTATAAGTTCGGTCTTCTGCATATAGATACCCAGTTTTCCGAATACCATTTATTGAAAAGACTGTCCTTTCCCCATTGTGTGTGCTTGGCAGCTTCGTCAAAATATTAGGTGACTGTGTATCACCTGTGGATTTATTTCTGGGCTCTGTATTCTATTCCATTGGTTTATGCATCTGATTTTATGCCAGTATCATGCTGTTTTGGTTACTATAGCTTTACAGTATACTTTGAGGTCAGGTAGTATGATGCCTCCAACTTTGTTCTTTTGGGTCAAGACTGCTTTGGCTATTCCAGGTCTTTTGTAGATTCCATACGTATTTTAGGATTGTTTTTTCTATTTCTCTGAAGGATGTCATTGTTATTTTGATAAATCCATAGCTTGTTTTGGGTAGTGTGAACATTTTAACAATATTAATTATTTGAATCCACGAATGCAGGATTATCTTTCCATTTATTTCTGTCTTCAAATTTTTTTCATAAGTGTTTTATGGCTTCATTATAGGTATCTTTCATATCCTTGGTTAAATTAATTCCTAAGAATTATATTTTTTTATTTTGGAGCTATTGTAAATAAGATTGTTATCTTGAATTCTTTTCAGACAGTTGATTATTACCACATAAAAGTGCTGCTGATTTTTGTATGCTGATTTTGTATTCTGCAACGTTACTGAATTCACTTATCACTTCTAAGAGTTGTCTTGATAACGTTTTTATGTTTTTCTCTATATAAGATCATGTCATCTGCCATGAGAAACAATTTGACTTCTTCTTTTCCAATTTGAATGCGTTTTATTTCTTTCTCTTGCTGATACTCTGGCCAAAACTTCCAATACTATATGAAATAGGTGTTGTGAAAGTGAGAATCCTTGTCGTTTTTCAGTTCTTAGAAGAAGGATTTTCTGTTTGTCCTATGTCAGTATGATTTTCACTGTGAGTTTCTGATATATGGCCTTTATTATGTTGAGGTATGCTCCTTCTATGCCTAAATTTGTTTAATTTTTATCATGAAGCAATGATAAATTTTATCAGATGCTGTTTTTGTATCTATTGAAATGATCATACACTTTTTGTCTTTTATTCTATCAGTGTAATGTATCAAACTTTTTGATTCATTTATACTGAATAACCCTTGAATTCCTGGAATAAAACCCACTTGGGCGTGGTGAACTGTCTTTTTAATGTGTTATTGGATTCAGTTTGCTAGTATTTTGTTGAGAATTTTCGCATCTAAGATCATGTTATTGCCTTGTAATTTATTTTCTTTCTTTTCTTTTTTCTTTCTTTCTTTTTCTTTTCTTTCTTTCTTTTCTTTCTTTCTTTCTTTTCTTTTTCTTTTTTTCTTTCCTTCCTTCCTTCCTTTCTTTTTACTTACTTTCTTTCTCTCTTTTCCTTCCCTTCCCTTCCCTTCCCTTCTTTTCTTTCTTTCTCTTTCTTTCTTTCTTTCTCTCTCTCTTTTCCTTCCCTTCCCTTCCCTTCTTTTCTTTCTTTCTCTTTCTTTCTTTCTTTCTTTCTTTCTTTCTTTCTTTCTTTCTTTCTTTCTTTCTCTTTCTTTCTTTCTTTCTTTCTTTCTTTCTTTCTTTCTTTCTCTCTCTCTCTCTTTCTTTCTTCTTTCTTTCTGACAGAGTTTCGCTCTTGTTGCTCAAGCTGGAGTGCAATGGTGCCATCTCAGCTCAATGCAACCTCCGCCTCCTGGGTTCAAGTGATTCTTCTGCCTCAGCCTCCCGAGTGGCTGGGATTACAGGTGCCCACCACCATGCCCAGCTATTTTTTTGTGTGTGTGTTTTTAGTAGAGACGGGGTTTTATCATGTTGGCCAGGCTGATCTTGAACTCCTGACCTCAGTTGATCCACCTGCCTTGGCCTCCCAAAGTGCTGGGATTACAGGTGTGAGCCACCGTGCCTGGCTTTTTCTTTTTTTTTAATTGACTTTAAACTTTGGTATGTATGTGGTAGGTGCATATATTTATTGAGTACATGAGATACTTAGATACAGGCATGTAATGCATAATAATCACATAATGGTAAATGGGGTATCCATTCCCCTCAAGCATTTTTATCCTTTGGGTTACAAACAATTCAATTACACTCTTTTAGTTACTTTAAAATGTACAATTAAATTATAATACACAATAGTCATCCTCTTGTACTATTAAATACTAGATTTTATTCATTCTTTCTAACTACTTTTTGTGCCCATTAACCATCCCTACCTGCCCTCCCATCCCCCTAACCACTATCTTTCTCAGTTTCTGATAACTTTCCTTCGACTCTATATCTCCATGAGTTCAATTGTTTTAATTTTTAGCTCCCACAGTAGGATTTATCCCAGGGATGCAAGAATGGTTCAATATGTGCAAATCAATCAATATGATAAACAATAAACAGTATGAAGGAGAATAACCATATGATCATTTCAACTGATGCTGAAAAATTTGATAAAGTTCAACATCCATTCATCATAAAAATTCTAAAAAACTGGGTATAGAAGGAACAAACTGCAACATAATAAAAGCCATATATGACAGACCCACAGATAGAATTTTGCTGAATGGAAAGAAACTGAAAGCCTTTAATATCTGGAGCACAACAAGAATGCCAACTTTTACCACTTCATTGACTATAGTACTAGAAGTCCTAGCTAAAGCAGTCAGACAAGAGAAAGAAATAAAAGGCATCCAAATTGGAAAGGAAGAAGTCAAATTATCCTTGTTTGCAGATGATGTGATCTTGTATTAGGAAAGACCTAAAAACTCCACCAAAACACTATTAGAACTGATAAACAAATTTAGTAAAGTTGCAGGATACAAAATCAACATATAAAAGTCAGTAGCATCTCCATATGTCAACAGTGAACTGTCTGAAAAACAAATCAAGAAAGTAATCCCATTTACAATAGCTACAAATAAAATTAAATACCTAGGAATTAACCAAAAAAGTGAAAATCACTACAATGAAAACTATAAAACATTGACGAAAGAAACTAAAGAAGACACAAAGAAACGGAAAGATATTCCATGTTCATTAGCTGAAACAGTCATTGTTAAAATGTTATACTACCAAAAGCAATCTACAGATTCAATCTCTATCAAAATACCAATGCCATTCTTCACAGAAATAGAAAAAACAATCCTAAAATTGATATAACCAAATGACCCAGAATACCCAGAGCTATCCTGAACAAATAAACCAAAACTGGATAAATCACATTACCTGACTTTAAACTACACTATAAAGCTATGGTAACCAAAACAACATGGTACTGGCATAAAAAACAGACCCATAGGTCAATGGAACAGAATAGAGAACCCAGAAGCAAATCCGTACATCAACAGTGAGCTCATTTTCTACAAAAGTGCCAAGAACATACATTGGGGAAAGAACAGTCTCTTCAATAAATGGTGCTGGGAAAACTGGATATCCATATGCAGAAGAATGAAACAAGACCCCTATCTCTTGGCATATACAAAAATCAAATTAAAATGTATTAAAGGCTTAAATCTAAGACCTCAAAAAATTAAACTACTAAAAGGAAACATTGGGGGAAACTCTCTTAGATATTGGTCTGGGTAAAGATTTCTTGAGCAACACTCCACAAACACAGGTCACCAAAGCAAAAACGGACAAGTGGGATCACATCCAGTTAAAAAGCTGCTGCACATCCAAGGAAAAACAATCAATGTGAAGATCAAACCCACAGAATGGGAGAAAATATTTGCAAACTGCCCATCTGACAAGGGATTAATAACCAGGAAACAACTCTATAGGAAAAAACCCTAATAATCTAATTTAAAAATGGGCAAAGGATCTGAATAGAGATTTCTCAAAAGACAATACAAATAGCAAACAGATACATAAAAAGGTGCTCAAACACCATTGATCATCAGAGAAATGTTCCTCAAAGCTACAATGAGGTATCATCTCACCCCATTTAAAATGGCTTTTATCCAAACACAGGCAATAGCAAATGCTGGTGAGGAAGAGGAGAAAAGGGAACTCTCATACTCTGTCAGTGGGAATGTGAATTAGTACAACCACTATGGAAAACAGTTTGGAGATTCCCCCAAAAACTAAATGTAGAGCTACTTTACGATCTTGCAACCTCATTGCTAGATGTAGACCCGAAAGAAAAAATAGCAGTATAACAAAGAGTTATCTGCATTCTCATGTTTGTTTTAGCTTTGTTCACAATAGCCAAGATTTGGAAACAACCTAAGTTTCCATCAATAGATGAATGAATAATGAAAATGTGGCACATACATATACAATAGAGTACTATTCAGCCATAAAAAAAATCAGATCATTTGCAACAACATGGACGGAAATGGGGATTATTGTGTTAAGTGAAATAAGCTAGGCACAGATAGACAAACTTCCCATATTCTCACTTACTTGTGGGAACTGAAAATTAAAACGATCGAATCATGCAGATAAAGAGTAGAATGATGGTTACCAAAAACTGAGAAGGATGGTGGAGGTGTGGGATGTGGAAAAATGGGGATAGTTATGGGTACAAAAAGATATAAAGAATAAATAATATTTAGTATTTGATAGCACAACAGGGTGAATATAGTCAATAATGACTCAATTGTCATTTAAAAATAACCAAAAGAATATAATTGGATTGTTTGTAACACAAAGGATAAATGCTTGAGGGGACGAATACCCCATTTACCATGATGCGATTATTATGTATTGTATGCCTGTACCCAAATATCTCATACTCTATAAATGTATACACCTACTCTGTACCCACAGAAATAAAAAATAACAAAACAAAAAACATTGTTTAGCAAGCCCAGCTAAGGGTCATCTGACTCTCTAGCAAATGTGATTTTGTTTAACTTACTATATATGAATTATGGAATCTCAGACATTGTATAATTACATATAGCTAGATGTTATAGAAAACTGCTACATTGTATCTTTTTAGTGTGGTAGAAAAGATAATCCCAAAGATTAAGGTCGTATTGCCCCTTTTTATAGCTGTATGAAAAAATATGAATATTTTTGTTATGTTGATATTTTTAACTTTTAAGTTCAGAGGTACACGTGCAGGTTTGTTATATAGGTAAATCTGTGTCATGAGACATTAACTGGATTACATCAAATTTAACAATTTTATTTTAGTGTTCATTTTTTTGCTGTGATTATGTAAAATCACACTTTTCATATTCTTTTTGGAACGGACTTTGTTATCCTGCTATCCCTCATTAATTAAATACAGTTTTTGATGTGTTCATTATGTATTTGTTTGAGAATTATGTTTTATGATATTTAAAAATTAGACTGACAGTCTATAAAAAATTAAATTACTAATGACAACAGCTGTGTTTTCTGGATACGATCTATGAATAAATGCCAGTAGGTAAGCTGCTTGAGGTTTCAAGAAATCAGGTGTTGTATCAAGACACTCTATATTACCTTAAAGGATAAATACCAAGCTATCCCTGGAATTATCTCAGAGATAAATACCTTAGGTTGGTATTTATCCTTCAGCTTCTGCTACTTCAAGGAGCATGATTGAGATAAAAACCAGTGAGAATCTTCTTCAGATACAGACTGAGGCATTGAAAATGGATGGCATATACAAACAAATCAATGACAAATTACAAATAAATCAATCCAAAGTAAGTAAAATAAGTGGGTTCTGTTATGCAACAGGTCTAATTGCTTCAGAGCCTGCAGGTCCCAAGGTCAACTTCCTAGCAAGAACTAAATTTAACAGAACTCAAACAGCAGCAGCCTAGGGAATCCCAGGGCTCATTAAGCTAAGTAGTGTTGTAAGAACCATAGCAACCTCAGATACAGCTAGAGTCCTAGGGATAGGAGATATTTCCAGTTCATACAGCCAGCCGTCAACTAGGGCTTGGCTTATAAGGAAGCAATTAAGACATGTGCTGGGCAGCTGTGATGGTCACCTGAGGATTGTCCATTTTGCTGGCCTGAGGCTGAAGAGAGGGTTGGTAGGATGAATGGCAGGATAACATCTTCCTTCCTTGAAACCACATAGCTTCTGACAAGCAAAGATGTAGGTTTCTCAGATATATTTACTCAAAGCTCCCCTCCCCTTCCTGCTCCTCTGTCTGACTCTGATGCTATTTTTATGTTTACTGTTGTCCTCACTCTTTTTCTCTATATACTCTGGCATTGATCATTTTTAAATTTAAGAGATCATTTGAGTTTTGTTGTTTTAAATTTACACTTAGAAACATTCACAGAACAGTGAAATTCCTATAGCATCAAGGAATTCTAGGGCTAGTGGCATCTTAGAAGACAGTTGCAATATTTGGATACGATAGGACCAAATTTACATAACTGAAGGCACAGGTTTCATGGCAATATTGTCTTAAGACTACCTAATTCTGTTATAGTCCCTTCTAGATTCTGTTTTCCATTTCTTTAATTATTAAAGTTTCTTTTTACTAAAATCTTCTTTACGTTCCACAGGTACAATATAGAATGCAATGTTTCAAACAAGGCCAAAGAAGTTTAGAACAGAAAGATTGTTTCTTTCTCAATAGAGAATACCACTATAGGTACCATCTTCAACTAATGGTGTCCACTTCTTGTTTTTCAGGAGAAATTTAAAAATGCATCAAATGCGTCTAAAAGGAATTCATATGGAATTGAAACTCCAGCTAGCCAATTATTTTCTATTGTTGAGATAGTCAAATTTCCTCCTCTAATAATGCATTTAGCTCCACACAGACCAAAATAAATACAAGACAAACATAATAGCAAAATATGGTATACTGTTATGCTTAAAACACACACATGCACAAGTTACCAGGAGAAAAATTTTACTCCTTTTCTTCATATTTTCCTCATAAACATCTCTGGTTCCTTGTTTAGAAAGACAAGAGACCAGCTGCTCAGCTGTACACAAGTAGCCTTTGATTATTTAAGGTGCTTTAGTTTGTCCTCTTCTCTCTAAGCAGGACCCTTCCATAAAGACTTTCATTTTGCATTAAGCATTCTCAATTTTTTTGGCTCATTTTGTGTACTTAAAAATATTTTTATTGACTTTTTCACATTCTTAGGTTATTTTTAGGATATGAAACATGAAATGCTTGGTAGGGTCTGATCTTACTGCTAATGGGATAATGGAGCTGGTATTTTTGAATGTGGCTTTCCAAGCTCTGCAGGGCTTTGGCAAGGGAAATTATATTGTGACTGGGGTTAGTTTTGGGATGTAGACATTCGTTCATGTTGTTGGGTGTATTGTTCTTTTTATTCTTTGCAGAACAGTGACAGGCTTAATTTCCTACTGTGATCAGACTTCAGAAGCTGGGAGATGACTCAACCAAATGTGGAAATGTTATTAAACCTAAAAGGGAGCTTTCTATATTGTTTAGTATTATGTTTTATATTGTCTGAAGATTGCAAATTTACTGTCATTAAAAAAAAAATCCAAGAATAACCAGAATCCAGCCCTTACCTTGATTAAAACTCAAATAACTAACATACAGGGCTGCCTATTTTTAACTTATGCAAGTGTAAAGATTTTTATATCATTATTAATCAAAATCTTATCACAGTAATCACCTAGGAACTGTCCAGAATATTTATAGTGCTGAAATTTCCTAATATTAAATCTTACTTTAAACAAGTAGGCCATAAAATCAGGCTTATAAATGGTTTGTAGTAATTTGGCTTATAACATATTTTACATATTCTTCTCTTATTTAATCTATCCTTCTGATTTATTTAATTTTAATATTGTCTGTTTTAATGTAATCTTTTCTTTCCCAACATATGTTCAGTGGAAATAACAAGTGTACCGTACACCCTTGGTATACTATGCCCTTCACATTAGGAAATAATCACATTGTTTCTCAGCCATATTCTGAGACTAAATTATAACAGTGTGTAGGATTATGTGTTCCCATTGTTTTCTGGCTTCTAGAAACCTTTTTTAATTAAAAAAATAACTTTGGTTTCTCTTTCTCAGACTTTTCCAGTTTTCCCAAGATTATTTTAAAAATTAGATGCATAATTTTAATGAGACTTGACCCCTGTTAATTATACATTTTAGATAACTGAAAAGAACATCAAAATGATGTTTTCTTATGGAACTTTACAATCCTTGGTGCATCCAAAAAAGATTAGAGAATTTCCAATATAGCAGAGCTCAAGTAGGGCTGTACACATAACAGCAAATCGTTCCCTAACTTGTATTTCTTGCTTTGGTTTATTTTCCAATTGACTCTAGAAAGTGAGGTGATTCCTTCTATCAGTTATGAGATTATAGATTTAGATGCACCTGTGCACTTGGCTATATAGGTAGATGAAGAGGATGGTCACAATCATGGTGTGACAGAGGCGTCCAAATGTGACTTGAGCCCCAAATCTCTCTCTCACTGGCTTATCTTGGAATAATACCCTAGAGAAAGTTTTCTTGTCATTAGAGGTTTTCATTTTTAGAATTTAAGTACTTTTCTGCATTGTCTATGTAAATACCTGATATCTATTATGAAGGATTTTATTGGATAACATTCTCTGAATGACTTGATAGAACCAAGTGCAACATGGATTACAAAGCTTGGAACACAAAATAAAATCTTGTCTTATTTCATATTTTGTCTATAGCTGGTTCTAGATAAAAAAAAATTCTAGACAGGGAGACATCTACTAATTTTTACTGCAATGGAAGAAATGTATCAACATTCTCTGATTTTCTGTTTGTAATCCAAGGTACTGTCACCAAACATTGGGGATGAATATGAGTGTAGAGCAGGGGAAAATATATCTAACAATATCTTAGCAAATCTTTTATTTTCTTATGTATCTATGGTTGTTGAAAAGTCCAGAAGCAACACAACTCTGGTTTCTCTTATTACTTTGTCCTGTAAAAGGGTCATGGTGGGCTTTTGTGCATGCCTCCACGATATGGGTCATGGCTCTTGGTCTCTTGTCTTGGTGATTGGTGTCTTTTAATCATTGTCCTACTCATCCCCAGTCTGATGCTTCCCTAAATCTTAAAGATTGAGACTGTTTCTTCTTACCTCATTTTTACAAACTTCCCAATTTCTGTAACCTGGGATAGTAAAGACAAAAAATATGAGCTTTTTCAATCCTTCCTAAATGATTTGTTTCCTAATATATTTATTCACAGTAACTACTAAACTTTGTACAACATAGCAATTTGTTGTTTACAAAACATTCTTCCTTCGATTTGATAAATTATTGAGCTTCTGCTATGCAGTAAATATTGTGTTGTGGATACAAAGATGAGTAAGATATTTCCTCATCTTGAGAGATCTAGTTTTTTTTTTATGGTGCACATAGGCATTACATTTGATTCTCAGAACAATCTTGGGAGATATTATTAACTCTGCATTAAATTGAATAACCAAAGAACAAAATTCAGAGAGGTTTATTTCCTTGCCTGAGAGTACTCCATTGGTAATGGTGGAGCTAGGCATTCGATCTAGATACTCCATTCCAGAACTTTTGTCCTTAGAGGACATTATTCTGTCTATTAAAAGAAATGGAAAGATTAGCACTTACCACCTCATGTCCAGGTCATTGTGTTTCTTTCTAGTTTATTGTGAATGCAATTTAAAAGTAGTACAGGAATAAAGAGTTGGAAGAAGTGAACAAAATTCAATGTTCTATCAATATAAGACTACTGCCTATACTACCTCATAGAATTTGCTAAAATAATTTTTATGTAATTTATGTATTACATACTATATATATAGTGTATATCTATATCTATCTATATAGATAGATAGATACGTAGATAGATTGATACCTTAAATCTCCCTTGTTCTGATTTAATTCTTCTTTCTCTAGGTCACTTGATATTCTTGGCTTGATGAAAAAAAACAAGATTCTAACGTGACAGAACTTGTTCTTCTGGGCCTATCATCTTCTTGGGAGCTGCAGCTATTTCTCTTATTACTATTTTTGTTTTTTTACATTGCTATTGTCCTGGGAAACCTCTTGATAGTGGTAACAGTGCAAGCCCATGCTCATCTGCTCCAATCTCCTATGTATTATTTTTTAGGTCATCTCTCTTTCATTGACCTATGCCTAAGCTGTGTTACTCTGCCAAAGATGTTAGGGGATTTCCTACAGCAGGGCAAGAGCATCTCTTTTTCAGGATGCCTGGCCCAGATCTACTTCCTCCACTTTCTAGGAGCCAGTGAGATGTTTTTGCTGACAGTTATGGCCTATGACAGGTATGTTGCCATCTGTAACCCTTTGCGCTACCTTATAAGTCATGAACCCCCAGCTGTGCCTTTGGTTGGTTCTTGCCTGCTGGTGTGGGGGTTTTATCCACTCTATCATGCAGGTCATACTAGTCATCCAGCTGCCTTTCTGTGGCCCCAATGAACTGGACAACTTCTACTGTGATGTCCCACAGGTCATCAAGCTGGCCTGCATGGACACCTATGTGGTAGAGGTGCTGATGATAGCCAACAGTGGTCTGCTCTCTCTTGTCTGCTTCTTGGTCTTACTATTCTCTTATGCTGTCATCCTGATCACCCTGAGAACACACTTCGGCCAGGGCCAGAACAAGTTCCTCTCTACCTGTGCTTCTCACCTGACAGTGGTCAGCCTGATCTTCATGCCATGTATATTCATCTATTTGAGGCCTTTCTGCAGCTTCTCTGTGGATAAGATATTCTCCATGTTTTACACAGTGATGACACCTATGTTGAGCCCCCTCATCTACACACTCAGAAATGCTGATATGAAGACAGCTATGAAGAAGCTGAGGATAAAACCATGTGACATTCCATTTCCTTGTTAAAGAATGAGCAGAAGAGGTGATTTGAAAAACATACTCTTTCTTGGAAGACTCTTAACTCATCTTGTACATGTCTAAAAACCATTTTGATGACTTTGGTATAAAAAAGAAGATAGCCTAAAGATTATAATAGATCACTCTTGATTACAATTTAAAAGCACAGGTGGCACTCTGGAAAGCCACCTATGCCTTTTGACCATAATCAAGAGAACTCGGGAACTCAGTAGAATTTACTGGCCACAAATGATAACAAGCATTAATTGAAAGATCAACTTTTCTATCTTCATGTTCTAAGTACTCTTCATTTATTCAATTTGTTCCACTTTTTAATCTATTCAAATGAAACAAGATATGTCTCTTTTTGTGTTCCTTTCCTCCAGCATTTAATGATTCCTAGTGTTAGGAAGTTCCTTCTGATGTCTCATCAGATCCTCTTCTGAAGTAGTGTGAATTTCTTTGTTCTGTTATAACAAAGCCTGAGAAGAGTAACAACCACCTATGTAGTAGTATTTACCTCAGAACTGTGTTCCACAGTGTCCCAAGTTTTAGAAATGTAGTCAGGCATCACTCTAATGAACATATGCTCTTAACAAAGTTTATGTGTGAGAGAAAGGAAGTCCAGGAGTGCAGGGGTGATGGAAGCTGTTAGTATTCTGTTGTAGAGGCTTCTCAAGAAGAGGTACCCAGTTTCACATTGAGTTTTTCTTTGAGTGGAATTACAGTGAGGGTGAATAGGTAAGCTGGCTCTTCAACTGACCATAATGTTTAAGAGTTTTAGCCTCGAAAGGAGGAAGAAATGAACTGTGGTTGAAAGCACTCATTCTTGAGATGCTCACAGTTATTACCTCTGAGTCTCAAACATGTTTGAGGAATAAATTTACCTAACTTCATTTTTGAAAATAAACTCTGAGTTAAGTGACTTGCCCATGACCACTTAGAAAAAATGTAATCAATCAAGAAAGCTGCTTGTAATCCCAGCACTTTGGGAGGCCAAGGAGTTCAGATCATCTGAAGTCAGGAGTTTGAGACCAGCTTGACCAACATGGAGAAACCCCATCTCTACTAAAAATACAAAATTAGCCGTGCATGGTGGCACATGCCTGTAATCCTGTAATCCCAGCTACTCAGGAAGGCTGAGTCAGGAGAATCACTTGAACCCGGGAGGCAGAGGTTGCAGTGAGCTGAGATCGCACCACTGCACTGCAGCTTGGGCAACAAGAGCAAAACTCGGTCTCAAAGAAAAAAAATAAAAGAAAGCTAATAATTATATAATTAAGTTAATATTTTATTTCTCCTCAGAAAGTGTATTTATCCCAATTATACAGATTGCTTCTTTCTTTCTCTTTCTTTCTGTGTCTCTTTCTCTCTTTCTTCCTTCCTTTCTTCTTTCTCTTTCTTTCTTTTTTTTTTTTTTTGAGACAGAGTCTTACTCTTGTCTCCCAGGCTGGAGTGCAGTGGCATGATTTTGGCTCACTGCAACCTCTGCCTCCCAGGTTCAAGTGATCCTCCTGCCTCAGCCTTCTAAGTAGCTGGGATTACAGGCACCGGCCACCATGCCTGGCTAGTTTTTGTATTTTTAGTAGAGACAGGGTCTCTCCGTGTTGGCCAGGCTGGTCTTGAACTCCTAACCTCAGGTGATGTGCCTGCCTCAGCCTCCCAAAGTGCTGGGATTACAGGCGTGAGCCACGACACCTGGCTAGATTACTTAATTTCTATAATACCTGTATAGGAGCTTCAGAGCTGGAAGATCCCTAAAAAGGTTAACTTAAACATTTATATTTAAGATTATCTATCTCTGACATAGGATCCTTGCAATATTTTATGGCTATGAAAAGTCTTTATTCTATTTACTATATAATAAGATAATGACAAATTTTTATAATGTTTTTTATATTTTGTCACTTTATCTCCTAATGAATTGCCATAGAGAGGTATTTATGATTACTTAGCTGAAAAATATACTTGTGAAAAAAAGTCTGAAACTCCATCTAATACTAGGATATACTGGAAAATGCCAATAACCCTGGTCATGTAAGAGCTTTCTTGATATAGGGACAAAAAATATATTTTTATTTTTGTGTTGGGAGTTAATGACTTCATATTTAAGAAGCCATATGTACGTATGTATATATGTATATATTGCTACAGAAGGACTCCTCACAGACTAGGAACTAGGCTGCCATTTGGGAGATTTCTAAATAGTATGGGTGAGGGTGAGAATGGCATACCTGGAACATCATGTTCTTCTTTTTTGCTTTACTCTGCTCTACACTTTTAGAGTTTTTTGCATACGTTGAATATCCTGAAGAGCAGTATGATATCCTGAAGGTAATATTTTGAATATCCTGAAGTGCAGGAAACTGCCCGAGAGTAGTGGGTGAGTTACCAGAAAGATTTGAGTGGTGCTAGGGATTACCAGGCATGTTTCAAGAACATAGAGCTCCAGGCTTTCTCTTAGTATAAGCCGGCTGCAACATCCCCTTTTTCTGATGCTCTCTTTCATAGCAAAATGTATAGTCTTGGCAAATCATTTTAAATGTCCTGTTGATAGCTGGAATTGGTAGCGTTATTTTAAGAAAAGCAAGAGCGTTTTGTATTCCCTTTTGCATTTTCAAGTCTCTCTTTGTTTCCAGGAACAAAGCCTACTTGATCGTGGTGAATTAACTTACTGATGTGCCGCTGAATTTGGTTTGCTAGTATTGTGTTGAGGATTTTTGCATCTATGTTCATCAGGATATTGGCCTGATGTTTTCTTTCTTTGTTTTGTTTCTGCCAGATTTTGGTATTAGGCTGATGCTAGCTTCATAGAATGAGTTAGGGGGGAGCCCTTCCTTTTTGATTTTTTTGGGAATACTTTCAGTAGGATTGGTACCATTTCTTCTTTATATGTCTGGTAGAATTCAACTGTGAATTCCTCTGGTCCTGGGCTTTTTTTGGTTAGTAGAGTTTTTTTTTTTTTTATTACTGATTCAATTTCAGAGCTTGATATTGACTTATTAAGGATTACAGTCTCTTCCTAATTCAATCTTAGGAGATTGTGTTGTTCCAGGGATTTATCCGTTTCTTCCAGATTTTCTAATTTGTGTGCATAGAGTTGTTCATAGTATTCTCTGAGGATCTTTTGTATTTCTGTGGGATCAGTTGTAATGTCATTTTTGTACTTTTTGACTGTACTCATTTGGATCTTCTTTTTTTTTTTTTACTATTTTTTTAATCTAACTAGCAGTCTAACAATCTTATTTTTTCAAAAGACTAACTCTTGGTTTCATTGACGTTTTGTATAGATTTTTGCACCTCACTTTCATTAAGTTGTTCTCTAATTTTTGTTATTTCTTTTCTTCTGCTAGCTATGGAGTTGGTTTGTCCTTTATTTTCTAATTCCTTGAGGTGCAAAGTGCAGGAGGATGAAGCTAGACCCTTGCTTTTCAGCATGTAAGAAAATTAACAGGATAGATTAAAGATTTAAATGTAAGGCCACAAACTATGAAAATCCTAGACCAAAATCTAGGAGATATTTTTCTTGACATTGGCCTTGGGAAAAAAATTAGCTAAGTCCCCCCAAAGAAATTGCAACAAAACCAAAAATTGACAAGTGGGACCTGGGTAAACGAAAGTGCTTCTGTACAGAAAAAGAAACTATCAAGAGGGGAAACAGACAACTTACCGAATGGGAGAAAATATTTGCAAACTGTGCATCTGACAAAGGTCTAATATCTCAAATGTAAATAGAACTTAAACAATACAACAGACAAAAAACAAATAGCCCTATTAATAATGGGAAAAGGACACGAATAGATCCTTCTCAATAAAAAGACATGCAAGGAGCCAACAAATATACAAAAAAATGCTTATCACTAATCATCAGAGAAATTCATACCAAAACCACAATAAGATACCATCTCATGCCAATCAGAGTGGCTGTTATGAAAAAGTCAAAAAACAACAGATGCTGGTGAGCCTGTAGAAAAAAGGGAGTGCTTGTACAGAGTTGTTGGGAATGTAAATTAGTTCAGCCTCTGTGGGCAAAATTTTGGAGACTTCTCAAATCACTTAGAACAAAGCTACTATTTGATCCAGCAATCCTTTTTTTTCCTCTCTCTCTCTCTCTCTCTCTGTGTGTGTGTGTGTATATATATATAAAATATTTTATATATAATATTTTATATATATATAATATTTTATATATATATAATATATAATATTTTATATATATATAATATTTTATATATATAAAATATTTTATATATATATAATAGATTATGCCAAATAGATTATGCCAAAAAGACCAAAAAGACACACACAGTTGTATGTTCTTTTCAGAACTATTCAGCAAAGACGGAATCAACCTAGGTGCCCATAAATGGTAGACTAGATAAAGAAAATATGGTACATACATTATCAGATACTACGCAACCATACAAAAGAATGAAATCATGTCTTTTGCAGCAACATGAATGGAGCTTCAGGCAATAATCTTAAGCAAATTCATGCAAGAACAGAAATCCAAATACTACATGTTCTCACGTACCAGTGGGAGCTAAACATTAAGCACACATGGACATGTACATGGGAACGGTAGACACTGTGGACTACAAAAGGTGTGATGAAGGGTGGGGGGATGGGTTGGGAAACTACCTGTTGGGTACTATACTTACTACCTTGGTGCAATAAACCCACGTAACAAACCTGCACATGTACCCTCTGTATCTAAAATAAAAGTTGAAATTAAAAAAAGAATGAAAGGGAATGAATAAAGCTGATGTTTATAGGCCCTCCCAAAATTTCTGGCTCATAACATGCTTTGAAAGATTTTATAAAATCATTTTTAAATTTAATAATTTTTAAAATTTGGAATGGTTATAGATTTACAGAAATGTTGAATATCACATAATATAATTATACCTCATGCTATTTTCCTTATTGTTATATTACTATGGTACATTTGTCAAACTAATATTGATACATTACTACTAACTACATTGCACTTTTCATTCAGATTTCATTAGTTCTTAATGAAACGGCTTACTCAAGTTGTCTATTTTTTATTTATCATGGCAGTTATTTAATTTATTGCCGTTATGTCCTTTATATTCCCAAAAAACTTTTTGTAATTATTCTGTAAATAAATACTTGAAAATACTTGGTGAGCTTCCATTACTTACAGGAAATGGTGAAATCTATAACATAAATACAGTGCAGTTCTAGTTTTTATCTTTTTAAGTGAATATTTGACTTCCCCCCACCACTCTGTTCACATCTGTGCATGGTTTCTTATTTATTTATTTGACATGTAAAACTTGTATATATTTGTCATGTACATGATGTTTTGAAATAAATATGTCTACATAGTAAAATGGCTCAGTTGAGTTGATTAGCATATACATCCTAGCCCTACCAGTCTCTCCCTCTTATTTCATCAAACCTATACTTTCTTGTTTGCATGTTCTATCCTGCCTCAGATTCTGATACACATATGAGATTCTGTAGGGGTGTAGGGTCTGCATGGTGATAAGAAAATCTAGGATAATAACTAAGATTTCTCATACTACAACACCACTCTACACCTTAGGCCTTGTTCTAGTAGAAAAACTTGTTCCAAGATCAATTATCAATCCTAATTCCAATTTTTGCCCAGTCCTGCTCCACAGTTTGAACTTCTGAACTATGTGCAGCTTCCTCATATTTCTATGTTTCTGAACATGCTGCTACTTCTGCTGGAATTCTTGACCAACTTTTCACCTTCAATACTCTAATTAAAAGTGTTGTTTTCAGCCAGCTTTCAGAATGGTTTTACAAGGAGTTATTTAGTAGAGACTACACTTGCACCTCTGCCTAATCATATTCTCCAGCTGCTTACCCAATCACTTGTGCAGCATTTCTCTCAGGGTTTTGATGATGCATAAAGATTGCGGAGAGTTTCTTCCCTTTGGCATCCAGGAATGTAGAAGTCTTTTGCATACCAAGGTTAGAAGCTATGGCATGGTTGTAAACTCATAAAATACTATCTTTGTGAGGGAGAGAGAGAGAGGAGAGAGAGAAAGAGAAAACAAACTCAAGACCACTTTTTAGACTGTACAAGAGGAAATGTGGCATGTATATAAGAGAAGCATCATTATATAAATCTGTCTTTTAGTGTGCGTATCTTGGTATCAATCACATTTTTATTTCAAAGGCTTTTCTGATCCAAGATCTCAGATTGTTCAAATCCATGAGGTGGGACCACACTCAAGAAAAAGTCCAGGGTAAGCTTTCCATCTAGAATGATACCTTAACCACCAGTGAAAGAAGCAAGGTCAATTTTCATTGATTCAAATTATATTCAAAGGTAAATTCTTTACTTCTGTAAATTATTCACCTGCTTTACAACGTCTGTTCTAGTAATTAATTTAAGAAATAGTATATTACAATTTAAAGTGTGTATCAATATAATTTCAGTTGGAATTTAGTCCTAGGTTTACTAGGTTTACCACCATCAGTAAACTTAGATAATTTAATTCCCTCTCTTGACCTTATTTGTTTCCCAGTGGTTAGATGAGTGTGAAAAAATCAATCTCTAAAATCTCTTATACATAGATAAGTATAGGACTTAACAAATTATGCTTCAGTCTAAGATGATTTAAGGAGATCATTTAAAACTGCTGCTCTAAAATAAATGGTTTTATGTCAGGAATTGGGTCGTGCTCCTCGTTTTATATTCACAGTGCAGTACCAGACACAGATAATATGTTTAGTAAATATTAAGTGAAAAGATAAATTAATATTGGTACTTAAGAAATATAACTCAAATAGATGATACCTTAAGCAATCTATATATTGTGCTATGCTAACTCATTTGCAGATTTTTTTCAATATTTATCCTTATATTTCAGCTCCACAAAGACTAGTAATTGTTTCCTCAATTGGAGCCAATTAGAGGAACAGGATAGGATTAATAAGTAATAAAATAATGTCAGGTAACAAGAGACATAAAAACATGCACATGTGTTATAATGTCTCTATGAGGGATATTGAAGTCAAGAACACTATTGCACGAAAAGTTTTCCATGAGATAGAACTTGCTGTTAGGAAAGAGATCTAGAATAGTATATGGCTGCCCTTTGTAAATCCCTCATGAGAGGAACTAAGACAGTCTCTTTCCCAGAAGATTCCAAGAGTTGCATTCTTTGAAATTGTTCTATTGGAAATAATTTATGTAGGCTCATGGAGTTAAACAAAGGAGGAAACATTTTTAACTACGCAAATCTTATTTCAACTAATATATATTCTTTAGCATTGTCTTAGAGAGATCAAGTTTAACCTAAGAACCTGGGTAGACCAGTAGAAACAATCCACCCCATAGAGGCTCTGGTTCATAGAGTTCAGACGTCTGATACTGGTGTTCCTGAAATTCTACCACAAAAATGATCAAGAGTTAGTTTGGCAGATTGTTTATTGCTTTTTTGTCCATTATCTAATTTGAGTCTTACCATGGGTAGCATTATCTCACAGGGGAGATTAGTAGATGCTAGAAAAATTATGTTAATGTTACACAGTCTGAAGAGGCAGAGCTGTGAGTTGTTCTATCTTTAAATCTTGTGCAGTTTCTCCCAGCAAAGATAGCAAAAAGATCTTGGGTCCTAGACTATGATTAATTTGATGAACTCCTCAGGAGGAGTCTAGATAAAGTTGAGTTGTCACCACTCAGGGTGAATAGATCAGCTTCCCAAACATCTTTGGGCATCCATGCTTGAACTCTTAAATACATCTATGCAAGAATATAGAATGTACTCTGTTGCTGCTCCAGTCAAAGGAGTATACTTGGGAGGGTAGGTGTGAGCAGTAGATACAGTCTAAGATTTGGACAAGCATAAGCATGCATATAGGTGAGAATCAGGAGATTAACATAGTAAGGAGGTTAGTGTTCTAAGATGACTCCTATCCAGGCTTCTGGCTCTCCTTCCAATCAACATTTTCTCTGATAGCAAAGATGGATAATGATAATTATATATTTGCTTAAAGTATGTTATGCACATAAGTGCTTTATATGTAATATATTTAATATGTATAACACTCTATATAAATGTACTATTCTTATCCACATTTTACACTTGAGAAAACTGAGGCAAAGGGAAGTGAAGTAACTTGCCTAAAGTCATAAAGTTAGTAAATGCTGAAGCTGAAATTTGAAAGTAGACCAGTTAGGGTTCCAGGCATCTTTTTCACAACTTCTCTCCCCCACCTTCCATCGCAGCTACTCTACTCCTGTGGCTGGATCTTTCTTTATGGCACCCCAATTAATTCAATTGCTAACTTTTAAGCTTAACACACAAGACTCTGTAATCTAGACTTGCCTTCTTGTCAGCCTCATCTCCTGACACTTTCCTATGTGGATTGTGTGCTGAATCATACTCAACTTGCTGGCACTCCCCAAAGAGGATGGTGTAATGATTTTTACCTTCACATATTCTATTTGCTAGGCCTGGAAAGTTCTTCCTGCCCTGTCTATTCTTTTGTGCCCACACCCTGCAATCCTCATCATCATCAGTTTAACTCTAACTCATCTATCAGAATTCCACTCAGTGACAACGTTTGAAAAGGCAGTCCTGTCTCTCCTGGGCTTCCTTCCTGAGCCCCTTCACAGAGAACTGTCACAGTTTACATGTGGACCTCCTCCACTTGATTGAGAATACTTGCCAAATCAAATAATGACTGAATGAATGATCAGTATCACATCACTTGTTATTACATCCCCACTGTAAATTTAATTTGAGAAAAGTTGGCACAGACTCTATGCTGTGATGATCTTGCTAGTTGCAGCTATAGTCTTTGTCTCTAAATAGTGTATATAATTAAAAAAAACTTTTCATGATTAGAAGAAAAGGAGTCTTTTGATTATTGTAGAAGGTTTAAGGCTTTCAAATGAGAAACATATTTGGTGGCTTTGATGCCATCAGACCCAGGATATGCATAGTAGTTAGGAAAATAGATCCTGAAGACTCATTGCGTGGGTTCAAATACCAACTCTGCCAATCACTAGATCTATAACCTTGGGGAAGTTACTTACTCTTTCTGTGCTTCAGTTTCCTCATTTCTGAAGTGGGAATAGTAGTGATGGACTACTTTATAAGATCATTGTGGGAGTTAAATGAGCTATATGTAAAACATCTAGAATCAAACTTGGCATATAGTAAGTACAATGTGTTTTCTGTTTACCTAAACATTTTTTCAGCCCTTATGATTTTGCCAACTGGTGATGACTGAGCGCAATTTGACTTTGCTGGTATAGGACGCCGATTATTTAAAGATTTTAGGAATGTGAAACATATTCTCCAATTGAAGGACTTTGCACGATAAGGAAGCAATTGTTTAAATTCAATTCTTTTTGTGGTGGCAGGTGACAGTAATCCCAGCTACTTGGGAGGCTGAGGCAGGAGAATCACTTGAACCCAGGAGGCGGAGATTGCAGTGGGCCGAGATCACGCTGTTGCACTCCAGCCTGGGTGACACAGTGACACTTCCTCTCCAAAAAATAATAGTAATTAAAAAATAAAATAAAGAATAAGTTCAGTTCTGTTTATGAGAAATTTATCTATCTAATCTTTCTATCTACCTATGATTTATTTAAGGATATGTCAGTTATGTGTGTTCTGGAGAAAGAATACCACAATTATACCAGTCCTTTCACGGAAAATTATATTGGGCAATTTGCCTCTTTAATCTTTAGTGCTACTCTGTAAAAAGGAGATAATAAAAATTATTATATTTTTGTGAGGATGGAATTAAATAACATATGCAGAGTTTAGCACACGATTCTGCACATGGTAAAATGCTCAGTAAATGTTAGCTTCTATTAATGATATTTCTTTAATGGAGATTGGCAGATATTATAGCTATTATCTCAGAAATAAAATTGTATATGTTTTTAATATTTTCTAGTAGTTACATTATATAGCTTTTATATAATAACTAAATACACCAAATTACAAATTATGCTTACTAGAGAGATTCCACTTGATAGATTCTAATTAAAAGGAAACACCTCATAAATTCAAAACATGTTCTATAGATCTCATTTGAATTCTGAAACAGCTTTGTGAGGTAAAAAATTTTATCATTCGTCTTCTATAGGTGAGAAAACTGAGATCCAGGGAAGATAAATAGATTTACCCAAAGTTATAAAGCTGATGAGGGCACTCAAACTTACACCACTCAGCTTCTGGGCAGTGCTCTTTCTGCTCTCCATGCAGAAAAGAGGTATTCTGAGTAAAGACGGAAAATAGCTAGTAATTTTCATATTTCAGAAAAGCCATTTTTATTTCAAGAAACTTCAGATCTTGTCTAATATTAATCTCCTTTAAGAATTTTTTCCTGATTATTTTTATCCATTATTTTTCTCTGTATGATGCAAGGATTCCTATTACAGTTTATAAAATGGCTTCAGACACTTATTTTTAAACTATCATTTATAACATTATCTGTATGATAAATTTCATTCCTAATTTTTCCTGTGATCACAAGGACAGAGAGTTATCTGGGTCTTTTTCAAGGCAAAGGGATTGAGGATGACAGGGACCTGCAAAGGGATTGAGGATGATAGGGAACTCAGTAACTTTAAAATGTTTCAACTCTTCAGAGCAACATAGAAAAAAGTATTTCTCTGTATAAGTTGATCACTTCTCATGTATTCCTTACTGGCAAGCAAAATGGAATTTTCAAACTGCAGGTCCAGGCTTATGATTCAAATTTCCTCAATGTTGATTTATAAGCGCTAAAAATGACTTAATTTTTAATTGAATTGAGACTTTTAATCTAATTGAGAAATTGGAAACTGAGTCTTCCTCTCTTGATTAAATAAAATGTTACTTTTCTATAGGTGAGTAGCATACATTATATTTGAAGGATTCTGAAATTTTATACATCAGATCTTATACTCTGACTTCATGCTTTTATTTACAGCCTCAAAAAATTAATTAATTTATTTAAACAAAGTTCTCACTCCAAAGTAAATTTCTGACAAGAGAAGTTGGAGGTGGGGGGAGAGAGAGCACTGATTAGGGAAAAACATTAAATTCAATAAAAAAGACTCAGATTCTCTAGGTTCTTGTATGGAAAAGAGGAACTATAAGACTAATTATGAAAGAAATTCAAATGTGAGTCAATAGTGTGGAAATCAAGCTAAAGACAAGAAAAATATTCATGAACTATGTTCAAGAAATATGAAGAACTTCCTCTACCATATTTAACATCATATAGGTGTTTTCACAAGACTCTTACTGATAGGCTTTACTATGCTTACCATGGTTTATAACGTGTTTATTTTTGCAGAGAACCAGAGTCACTCCACGAGTCCTGCCTGGGGCCCCATGAAAGTGGCCAACAATGTCACTGAGTTTATATTCCTGGGACTTTCCCAAGATTCTGGAATGCAATTGATGTTCTTTGTCTTATTTCTCCTCTTCTACGTCGTGATCATGGTGGGAAATTTGCTCATTTTGCTTATGGTCTTTTCTGACTCCCGACTACACACACCCATGTATTTCTTCCTCAGTAACCTGTCTTTTGTGGACATTGCCTATTCCTCAGCCACAGCACCCAAGATGATTGAAGACTTTGTTTCTGAGAAAAAGACTATTTCCTACTGGGGCTGTATAACTCAGATGTTTACCTTCCACTTTTTTGGTTGTGCTGAGATTTTTGTTTTGACTGTCATGGCTTTTGATCGCTATGCTGCTATCTGCCAATCCCTCCGTTACACTGTCATCATGAGTGCTAATGCTTATACTGTGCTGGCATCACTGTCCTGGTTGGGGGCCCTGGGTCATTCCTTTGTTCAGACCCTCCTGACCTTCCAGCTGCCCTTCTGTAATGCTCAGGTTATAGACCATTACTTTTGTGATGTCCACCCAGTCCTAAAACTTGCCTGTGCTGATACAACTCTGGTAAATATGTTGGTGGTTGCCAACAGTGGTCTCATCTCCCTGGGGTGTTTCCTCATTCTTTTGGCCTCCTACACAGTCATTCTGTTTAGTCTTCAAAAACAGTCTGCAGAGAGCTGACACAAAGTTCTCTCTACCTGTGGATCTCATCTGACTATAGTAACTTTCTTCTTTGTTCCGTGTATCTTTATTTATCTCCATCCACTACTTTCCCATTGGATAAAGCTGTGTCTGTGTTCTATACCACCATCACCCCAATGCTGAACCCACTCATCTATACTCTGAGGAATGAGGAGTAAAGAATGCCATGAGGTGGCTATGGAGTAGCAAGATCTCCTTGAAGGAAAAGCAGAGAGGATAGTTTGTCAGAATTGCAAAATCACTGAATTAGTGGATACCTTCAATGATCCCTAATTTACTAATAATTAAAAAAACAGTTCCTAAAATGCAGCTTTTATATTTTGTCTAACAGGAAATAATTTGAGGCTATTTTAGACGGGCTAAACTTAAACCTTTCCATACTTGGCAAGGTTTATTCTCTCTTCTAGAGTACAAGAGTTAACACTCCTACTCAATATCTCATTTAACCTCGTTAAATCCCTTCTATTCACATCAAACTCTCTTAAGCTACCATTCAGTAATTTAGAGTGGGGTTATAAGAGAAAGATATCCCTGATCATATCTTCTCACCATATCATGTCTCTTCAAAAAAGAGGTCTAATTTACCAGAAGCTGCACCTTTTCCCTCCTTCTTTTGTTTTCTTTTTCGTCCTTCTCTAGTCTTTTCTTATACATATTGCAAAATCTAGTCAGGGAAACAGATTTGCAAGGAGATAATTACAATACAATACAACAAATGCAGACATAGAAATACATACTTCCTATAATGAAGAGGGTTAGTATAAATCAACAAATTGCCCAAAGGATGGTTTCTGTGCAGGAAAAAAAAAAATAGAACTTTACATATTTTGAGGTGGACAGCAATTTCTTCAAAGACCCTCTTGGAGAATTTGAATACTCTTCTACCCATTACTATAATACTATCTTTACTGAAAGAAATCTTACTTTTTTGCCAATAAAAACAGACTAGATTAAAGCAACTAAAATGAGTTGGTATTTGTACCATTGAAATGACTAAGGAGATGTAATTCTATTATAAATTTTTAGTTGAACTTGTCTTCAGTTCCTTAAAACAACAAAATGGAATAAGCACATTTTCTTCTTGTGGTATTCTTAGTAAAGTTGAAAAATAGTTAAGTATTCTCAGTATTCTGGAAAAGGCATTTTTCTTCTAAGAAATTTTCTTAGATCTTGTCTCATGACTGATGTTGTTCAAGAATTCTGCCCTGATTATTTTTGTTCAACATTTATTTTCTATATGCCTTAAGCAATCCTGTATGCAATTTATAAAATATCACTTACCTTTTTCTCTTTTTTAGTGGATTTTTATCTGAGATCTACAACTTATGAAGAATACAAATGATGTATATTCTTTTCTACTCTTCATGTATGGACTAGAGGGGCTTGCACAGTAGGTACTTGTCAAAATCTGTTGATTGTAACTCCAATTTCTATTTTTTTCCTTAGTAATGGGGACCTGACATTATTCATGGTGGCCCAACTAAAATATTGCATTGACTTGCCTCAGGCTCTTTTAAAATTCAATTCAATAATTTAGAATGACCTTATAAGAAAAAGATATTCCTTTTGAAGCCCAGTGGACAATCTGATGTTAATAGTAGTTGGTTGGTGGGACTTTTGAAAAGTCTTTAAAATGGTTTGTCTACTCCAGCCCTCTCATACATGATCACCATTAACATTTTGATTATTAAAATTTCTTTATAGTTATTGCATGTCCTTATAGTTATTTTCATATTACTTTCCCTTTGCAAAAGGGTCATTCTATCCTTTTTTTAAACTCCTGATTTTTTAAGATAGACAACAAACCCACAAATTATATTAAAAATGATAGAATACATTAGGTTTCCTTTTCCCTCCTAAGAGCAAAGTATTAATAATAAAAATAACAACACTTGCAGTAAGAAAAAAATGGCTGAGACCCACAGGAACAAAGAAACAGGACAGGAGTTAGATGCAGAGAAGAGATTTCAACAAAAGTTTGGAAGAGGTAAGACAAAAAAGTAGTAACTGATTTGGCAGGGTCGGGAAGGCTAAGTCTAAACTCCCAACAAGAGGAATAGTGAGGAAAAGGGGAGAGATTCATTTCCTGGAATCCCTACGATGATTGGGATGCAGGATGCCAGGTCAGCGGGAGGTGAGGTTCAGGGCTGCTAATGAAGATTAAGAGAAAGGAACAGTTCAATCTTCTATCCTCTCTTTCTGCTCCCAGATGCTAACGGTAGCATCTGAGTCACAGACAGAACATTGGCACCTTTGTTTAAGAAACTGAATGTTAATGTCACATCTGCCTTTGGAGATTACAAATGAAATGGCTACCTTTCTACTGGAACCCTGACCAGAAGTCTGCCAGTTAGTAAGCTGGCTTAAGAGATCAATCTAAAATTTACATAAGGCTTTTGAAAAAAAGAAAAAAGTAAGTCTTTAAAAAAGCCAAAAGGAAACTGGTGGAATTAGAGGTAATTCGTGGGGGGGGGGGGGGGGACTGTAAAAAACTGTATCTTCTCATCAATGAAAGAAAATATTTGTAATCTTGAAATAAGAATATGATGTACTGAAAAAATATAGAAAAATTATTTTTGGAAGGTAAAATCAAAAAGAACAATAAACAAAATTAATATGGCATTAAAAGAAATAAAACAAGTAGTCAAAGAAGTCATAAAAGTACAGTCTCTATGAAAGTAGAATGAAAATGTCAAAGAAATAGAAAACATGAAAGATAAAAACAAGAAACACAAGGAATCAAGTTAGGGGCAAACCATTCAACTCACACATATTCCAGGAGGACAAATTAAACAGAAGGATGGATTTAAAAGAAACAATGAAAATAAATTTCTTAGAACAGAAAAGCTTAATTTTCTCGATATGAAAGATTTACTGAATGCCCACCACAAGATTTAAAAAAAATCCCAAGGCACGTTATTATGAAATTTTATCACCTTAACGATTGAAAATATTGTAAAATTATTAAGAAAAAACCATATAGCTCACGAATGAACAGAAATTCAAATGGCATGAGTATGCTCTGTAGCAAGCTCATCCTTAGAATACAGTGGAAAAGTTTCTCACACTGATTTTCAGGCTAGAATTCTATACAGAACAAATCTATCAGGAAGATAGAATAAAGCATATTTAATCATACAAAAATTTATAAAGTTTACTTCATAAGTACTCTCTTTTTTTGAAAGTGTGGGATAATATATCCCAGCAAAACAAGAGGAAGAAATGAGATCAATAAACTAATATATGCAATGCAGGGTGGCTAAAGCCACTTTAAAAAAAATCCCAATCTCTTTTTTCTTTCTTCATGTGAGTCAGGTAATGTATATATGTCATAAGGTTTGAGGGAGGTACATTTCACACAGGAGTGCAAAAACTCAGTCATCACGCTTATGAACTACGAAGGGATCAAAAGGCACTTTTAAGATGACAGATGTACAGTAGGCATAGGAGACAACAGAAATGGATGAAAGCAGAAGATGGAAGCCCTCCAGGTTCATAAAACAGAAAGGAGAGGGTGAAAATTTATATTATCTAATATATTGAAGCATCTTAGTTGTAAAGGTACAGTCAATAAGATGAAACAAGTTGATACACTCAAGGAAGGATACATTTATAGAAAATTATATCATTTAGAGTTCCAACAGGAAGTTAATGACACACTTAATATAGGATAATTTGATAAACATTTATTTAACGAGATGCTGTCTATGAATTTATAGGTATAGAGTACCACACAGGCCAGGGGTAAGATGGGGTGGAGCTGTTTACACCATTGTGCCTGAAGGGACTGAGAGAGGGAGGAAATACAGAAACCCCAAAAAGAGATATTTATGATAGCCATTTGAAAGGAGGAATGACCTTCAGTGGGAGGTCAACCAGCATGTGGCCACATGGTCTAGCTTATTCTCCTTCATTCCCCTTTTCCAGTTTTATTGAAGTATATTTGACAAATAAGAATCATACATATTTAAATGTGCAACTTGATGTTTTGAACTACGTGTACACTGTGAAATGATCATCACACTTAAGATAATTAACATATCCATTACCTCACAGGGTTATGTTTTTCTGTGTGTGGTGTGAACCCTTAAGATCTACTCCCTTAGTACATTTCAGTTGTCCAATACAGTATTGCATTGTAATACAGACACCATGTTGTGCATTAACTCTCCAGAACTCACTCATTTTTGCATAACTGAAACTTTGTAACCTTTAGTCCATTATCTCCTCATTTCTCCCTTTCCTTTCCACTCTTGGCAACCGCCATCCTACCTTCAGTTTGAGTATTTTAGATTCCACACATAAGTGAGATCATGCAGTATTTGTCCTTCTGTAAGTTGCTTTTTAAAGGCTGAATAATACTCCATTGCATATATATACTACAATTTTCTCAGGCTTTATTGAGGTATGATTTACAAATAAAATTTGCATATATTTAGGGTATATGCATACTTACGAAATGATTACCACAACCAAGCTAATTAATATATTCATCATGTTACATCATTACCATTTGTGTATAATGTGTGTATGTGTGTGTGTTAACACTTGAGATCTACTTTCTTAGCAAATTTGAAGCTACTGTACATTTGGTCTCCAGTACTTACTCATCTTGTAGCTGAAAGTTTGTACCCTTTGACCAACATCTTTTTCCTGGCATTTCCCAGCCCCTGCTAACCACCACTCTACTGTCCATTGCTATGAGTTTGATTTTTTAAAATATTGCACCTGTATGGGATATCATGTAGTATTTGTCGTTATGTATCTGGCTTATTGCACTTAGCATAATGTCCTCCAGGTTTATCCATGTGGCAAATGGCAGGATTTCCTTCTTTTTAAGGCTGAATAATCCATTGTGTGTGTTTGTACCACATTAAAAAAATCTATGCATCTGTAGATGAACACTTAGTTTGTTTCTATATCTTGGCTAGTGTTACAATGCTGCAGTGAATTTGAGAGTGCAGATATCTCTTTAAGATAGTGGTTTTATTTCTTTTGCATACATACCTAGAAGTGGGATTGCTGTTATTATATGAGAAGTTTATTTTTTTTTTGAGGAGCCTACATACTGTCTTCAATAATGGTTGCACTAATTTATATCTCTACCAAAAGTTTACAAGGGTTTTGTATTAGTCCGTTCTCACACTGCTAATAAAGACATATCTGAGACTAGGTAATTTATATAGGAAAGAGGTTTAACTGACCCACATTTCAGCATGGCTGGGAAGGCCTCAGGAAACTTATAGTCACAGTCATGGTGGAAGAGGAAGCAAACATGTCTTTCTTCACATGGTGGCAAGAGAGAGAAGACTGAGAACTGAGTAAAGGATAAAGCCCCAGGTAAAGTCATCAGATCTTGTAAGAACTTACTCACTATCACAAGAATAGCATGAGAAAACTGCCCCCATGATTCAATTACCTTTCACTGGGTCTCTCCCATGACATGTGAGGACTACGGGAACTATAATTCAAGATGGGATTTGGGTGGGGACACAGCCAAACCATATCAGGTTTCCTTTACATCCTTGCCAACACATGCTATCACTGGACTTTTTGATAAAAGGCAATCTAACAGGTGGTTGGTGATATCTCAGTGAGGTTTTGATTTGCCTTGATGATTTCTGATTTTGAGCATTTTTTCCATATACCTGTTGGCCATTTGTGTATCTTCTTTGGAAAAATATCTATTCAGATCCTTTGCCCATTTTATGAAATCATTTTAAAAATATCTTTTGCCCATTTAGAAGCTTGTTTGTTTGCTATTTGGTAGTATAAGTTCTGTATATATTTTGGATATTAACTCCTTATTGGATGTGTGGTATACAAATATTTTCTCCCTTTCTGTAGATTTCTCTTTCATCAAACAAATAAAGATGAGACCAATGTCCAGGAACTTTTCCCCATGTTTCCTCCTAGGAGTTTATGGGGCCGGGTCTTATGTTAAGTCTATAATCCACTTTGAATTAACTTTTGTGATTGGAATAAGAGAAGCACGGATTCTTTGCATGTGGATATCCAATTTCCCAACATCATTTATAGACGAGTCTGTCCTTTACATTGTATATTCTTGGTACCTTAGTTGAAAAAATTAGCTGACTGTAGGTATGTGAGTTTAGTTCTGAGCTTTCTATTCTGTTTTATTGGTATACATGTTTTTATGCCAGCAACATCTGTTTTGATTATTACAGTTTTGTAATGGAGTTGAAATCAGGAAGTTTAATACCTCTAGCTTTGAACTTATACTCAAGATTGCTTAAGCTTTTCATGCTCTTTTATGGTTGCATATGAATTTCAGAATTATTTTTTCCATTGCTGTGAAAAATGTTCATTGCCATTTTGATCGGGATTGCGTTGAATGTACAGATCATTTTCAGTAGTATGGACTTTTTAACAATATTAATTCTTCCAGTTCATGAATATGGGATATGTTTCACTTATTTTTGTCTTCCACAATTTATTTCATTAATCTTTTATACTTTTCAGTGTACAGATATTCTACCTCTTTAGTTAAATTTATTTGTAAGTATTTTATTCTTTTTGATGTGCTCATAATGATAACTTTTTCTTGACTTTTTCTTTCTATAGATCATTATTGGTGTAAAGAAATGCAACTGAATTTTTCTGTTGATTTTGTAGTCTGCAAAATTACTGAATTTGCTTATTAGTTCTAACAGTTTTTTAGTGGAGTCTTCAGGATTCTTTCTACATAGGATCATGCCATCTTCTAACAGAGACACTAACTTTTTTATTTGGATGCACTTTATTTCTTTTTCCTAATTACTTTGGTTATGACGTCCAGTACTATGTTGAATGGAAGTGGGGAGAGTGGTCTTGTTCTTGATCTTAGAGGGAAACATTTCAATTTCTCATCGAGTATAATGTTTATCATAGGCTTGTGATATACAGGCTTTATTGTGTTGAGGTACATTCCTATAATTTGTTGAAAATTTTGTATTGTGAAAGAATGTTGAATTTTGTCAAATGATTTTTCTGCATTTGTTTAGATGATCTCATGGTTTTTATTTCTTATTCTGTTAATGTGGTGTAGCACATTTGTTGATTGTGTATGTTGGATAATTCTTACATCCCAGGAATAAATCCTACTTTGTCGTGATGCAAAATCTTTTTAATGTCCTGGTATATTTGGTTTGCCAGTAGTTTGTTGAGGATTGTTGGACCTTTGTTCACAAGGGACATTGGCCTATAATCTATATTTCTTGTTGGTGTCCTTATCTGGGTTTGGTATGAAGGCAGCGTTGGCATTGTAAAATGAGTTTTAAAATATCCCCTCCTCTTCAACTTTTTGGAAGGATTTTAGAAGGATAGGTATTAGTTCTTTTCAAAATATTTGGTAGAATTCAACTATGAAGCCATCAGGTCCTAGGATTTTCTTTGATAGGAGATTTTATTATTGATTCAATCTCCTTACTCATTACTGTTAAGATTTTCTAGCTCTTCATGATTCAGTCTTGTAGGCTGTATGTGTCTAGGAATTTATCCATTTCTTCTAGGCTATCCAATCTTTTGACTTGTAATGGTTCATAGTATTATCTTATGATTCTTTATATTTTTTGTAGCATCAGTTGTAATGTTTCCTTTTTCATTTTGGCTTTTATTTATTTAAGTCTATTTTTTCTCAGTGTAGATCAAGTATTGTTGATTTTACTTATATTTCCAAAAATCAATCTTAGTTTCATGATCTTTTCTACTGTTTCTCTAGTCTCACTTTCATTGATTTCTTTTCTAATCTTTGTTATGTCCTTTTTTTCTAACTTTAGGCTTAGTTTGTTCTTTTTTTAGTTCATTGAGCTGTAATGTTAGGTTGTTAATTTGAGACCTTTCGTCTTTTTTTTGTAAACATTTATTACTATACATTTCTCCCTTAAAACTACTTTTGCTGCATCCCATACCTTTTTGTATGTCATGTCCATTTTCATGTGTCTCAAGATATTTTTACATTTACCTTTTGACTTCTTTTTTTGGCCCATTGGTGGTTGTTTAATTTCCATATGTACATGAATTTTCCAGTTTTCCTGTTATTATTGATTTTAGTTTCATACCACTATGGTCAGAAAATATATTTGATATGATTTCAGTCTTCTGAAATTTGTTAAGACTTGTTTGTGGCTTAACATACAATCTGTCCAGGAGAA
Source organism: Homo sapiens (assembly GCF_000001405.40). NCBI lineage: Eukaryota > Metazoa > Chordata > Mammalia > Primates > Hominidae > Homo > Homo sapiens. The sequence continues at coordinate 388,125 of NT_187602.1, forward strand.
TATTCTGTGTAAGCTTGAGAAGAATGTGTGTTCTGCTGTTGGATCAAATATTCCGTGTATGTCTATTAGATTCATTTAGTCTGAAGTAGTTCAAGACAATGTTTTCTTAATAATATTCTTTCTGGATGATTTATCCATTGTTGAAAATCAGATATTAAAGTTCTCTATTAATATTGCATTGCAGTCTATCTCTTGCTTTAGATTTGTTAATATTTGCTTTATATATTTAGGTGCTCTGATGTTGGGTGTATTCATATTTATAACTGTTCTATTATCTTGATGAATTGACTTTCTTACCAATATCTAATGACCTTCTTTGTCTCTTGTGACAGTATTTAAAGTCTATTTTGTGTGATACACATGTAACTGCTACTGCTCTTTTTTGGTTTTCATTTTCATGGAATATTTTTGTTTTTTATCCCTTTACTTTTAGTCTATGTGTGTTATTAAAGGTGAAGTGAGTTTCTTGTAGGCAGCATTTAGTTGGATCTTATTTTTATAAATCAATTCAGCCACTTTTTGTCTTTTGATTGACAAAATTTGCTTATTTATAGTTGGTAAGTAAAGATTTATTATTGTCAATTTATTGTTTTCTGGTTGCTTTGTAGGTCCTTTATTCCTTTATTACTCCTTTGTTGTTTTCCTTTGTGATTTGATCATTTTCCTCGGTGGTATGCTTTGATTCTTTTCTGTTTATCTTTTGTGTATTTACTATAGGTTTTTAATTTGTGGTTGCCATGAGGCTTACATAAATATTCTTATTGTTTTACCAATTCACTTAAAGACGATAACATCTTCACTTTGATTGCTAAAGAAGCTCTGTACTTTTACTTCCCTTCTCTTACATTGTGCTTTTGATGTTACAGTTTACATTTTTTATATGTCTTAAGAATTTATTATAGCTATAGTCATTTTTCATACATTCATCTTATAACTTTATAATGATGTTGTGATTTACACCACCACCATTATGGTGCTTGAATATTCTAAATTTAACCATATATATACTTTACCAGTTAGTTTTATATTTTTATATGTTTTAATGTTACTAATTAGCTGCCTTTTATTTAATCTTAAAAATCCCCCTTTAGCATTTCTTGTAAGGCAAGCAATAGTGAAGACTCACTCAACTTTTCTTTTTTTTTTTCTAAAAAAGTCTTTATCTTCTTCATTTCTGAAGGACAGCTTTGCTGGCAAAATATTGCTGGTTGGCAGTTTTATTTTTCTTCCATTGCTTTGAATATATTATTTCATTCTCTCCTGATCCTCAAGGTTCCTGCTGAGAAATCCACTGATAGCTTTATTTGGGTCCTTTTTTATATGACATGATTCTTTTCTCTTGCTGCTTACAAGCTTCTCTCTTTGTTTTTGATTTTTGCCAGGTTGATGATAATGTATGTTTGTGGATTCTTTTTTTGGTTGAATTGACTGGAGAACTTTAGGCTTCATGCATCTGGATGCTCATTTCTTTCCTGACATTTGCTAAGTTTCCTATGATTATTTCCTTAAATAAGCTTTCTATCTAATGCTCTCTCTATTTTTCTTCTGAACCTACTATAATTCTAATGTTAGCTCTCTTGATAGTATTCCATGGCTTCTGTAGGTTTTATTCTTTTTTTTCTTTTATCTCCACTTACTGGATGATTTAAAATGCTCGGTCTTTGAGTTCACTTATTTTTTTATTCTGCTTCACTTAGTCTGATGTTCAAGCCTCTATTACATTTTTTTAGTTTAGCTGTTGTATTTTTCAGCTCCAACATTTCTGTTTGGTTCTTTTTAAAATATTTTCTGTCTCTTTATTGAGCTTCTCATTTTGTTCTTGGATTGTCTTCCTGATTTCATTAAACTATTTATTTGTGTTCTCTTGTAGTTCCCCAAGATTCCTTAGGCAATTATTTTGATTTTTTCCAGGCAATTTATAGATCTCCAATTCTTTGGGGTTGGTTACTAGAAATTAATTTTGTTCCTTTGGTGGTGTCATGTTTTCCTGCTTCTTTGTGATCTTTGGGTGTTGATTTTGTCAGTGACTAAACCTGCTGGAGTCCTCTGTGGAGTTAAATACTATAGTTTGTGCAATGATAATTGTGGGTTCCTTGGTAGTAAAAGCAGTGTGGTATGTGCAGCTGATAATGACAGGAGACAGACAGATTCCTAGGCAGACAGGGATAAGTCCCTGGTGAATCCCAACCTTCAAGCCAAAGACAACCTGAGGCCTGAAAACCAAGCCGCCAGTTCCAGGTGGAGTCCACGACCCAACTGAGAACTTCCTCAGTGCCTTTTAGTCAATTAAATGGTGCTTTTTCCAGGCCTGCCCATGAACCAATCAGCACAGATTCCTCCATTCTGAGCCCATAAAAACCCCAGACTCAGCCTCACAGATGGCTCTCTGCTTTCAGCCCCACTCTTACACAGAGGGCTGCCCACTTTGGCTACTCTCTTGTTGTCAAGAGCTTTTCTGCTGCTCAATAAAAATCTCATCAGCCTTGCTCACTCTGCGGTGTCTGCATGCTTCATTCCTGTTGGTTGCAGGACAAGAATCCAGGATCCACTGAACAGTGGGTGCGAAAAGAGCTGTAAGATACACCTCCTGTTCACCAAGCTACAGAAGTGAAAAAAAAATGCTGGGTGCCACAAGTCCCCAATTGCTGAGCTGTGGGCAGCAGGACTGAATGAGCTGTGACACATCCCCATTTGCTGAAACTGCCAGCAGTGAGAACGAACAAGAGCTGTAACACTTCCTGGGGGCTCAGACCTTGACTCCCAGAGCAAAAGCTGTAACACCTCTTCGGGCTCCACAGTTGCTGGCATCTCTGAGTTTTTGGGCACTGCTGCATCCCCCTTATCCAGATGCCAGCGCTCAAGGCAGAAGTCAGTCATAGCATGCCCAAACCAACCGTGGGCTGAGCACTGAGCTACGGTGGGTGTCATGGCATCTGGGTGAGTGAGCATGAGTGGAGCACAGCCTGCCAGGCCAAATGAGCAGGACGAGCTCAGAGGGCCTGAGTGAAGCCTCAGCAGAGGCTCTGCTGGCCATCGAGATTTCCACTTGGCAAAGTGGCCCTCAAAGAATCCTGTGTCACATCCATGAGGGCTGTTGAGGTCCTTGGTATAGAAGGCTACCAGAATTCCGCTCAGATCAGGCTACTGGGGACTGCATTGATTCCTACCACAGGACTGATACTGATAGACCTCATCATTTCTCTTTCTTACCAGCAGTTTACAGATTTCTCTCCTATGTTGGTCTCCCTAGCAATCTGGGATGGGTGAAACTTAAGCTGGTTGTTTGGGCAATGCTCCAGTAGGCTGGGTAAGATGGTTCACTCCACTCTCCTTTTCTCTGCAAGGGGAACTTGCAAGCTGAGCAGTGACCTCTCCATACTGAGCACTGCCAGCCTGAGGAAGATGACGCAGGCAAAATGAAACTGTTTTTTCTACCATTTTTTTGTGTTTTTTCTTGAAGTTTTTCTGTCTGCTCTGTTGTTTTAACTTCTGAAGTAGATTCCTGATCTCTGCTAGATATTTTCATTTGTGGATATTTACCCAGTTGTTGTTCCTTTAGGAGGAATAAAGACTGAGATCACCTACTCTGCCATTCTAGCTGATGTCTAACACATTTTCTTTGTTCATCTGTCTATGGACTTTTAGGCTGTTTCCATATCTTGGCTTTTGTGAATAATGCTGTAGTAAACATGGGTGTGAAGGTATCTCTTTGAGGTTCTGATTTCAATTCTTTTGGACATATTCCTAAAAGTGGGATTGCTGAATCATATAATAATTTTGTTTTTAATGTTTTGAGGAACTGACACATTATTTTTCATAGTGACTGCACCATTTTCTATTTCCACCAAAAGTGTATAGGAGTTTCAATTCCCTAAATTCTAGCCAACACTTCTTTTGTTTTTTGATAATAGCCATGCTAATAGGCATGAGGCAATATCTCATTGGTGTTTGGATATGCATTTCCTTAACAACTAGTGATGCTGAACATATTTGCTTATACCTGTTGGCCATTTGTGTATTTCCTCTGAGAAATGTCTTCAAGTTTTTCACCCACTTTGAAATTGCATTATTATCATTATTATTTTTGCCATAGTATGACTGATTTTTAAGTGCTTCTTATATAATGGAGTTATTTCAATTTATTTTTTTCTGTTCATTATTTGCCTGTTAAATTTGTCTTTATTTTCTAGTAATTTTAAATTGTTTTAATTTCTAACATTTTCCCCTATATTTGTGTTTGCCATTGATAAATTTTAAATTTCATTATCAAATATGCTATAACTCTTTTCTTATTGTTTTTCCTTCATAGGGGCAGGATATACTTAAAAGTTTTTATTTATTCCAAAATAATTTAAATAGTCTCTCTATGTTTCTAGTAATTAAAAAAATTACTCCTTTGCAATTTATGTTAAGTATAAGTTATAAAATATAATTCTTTTAAAAAATCTGGTTAACCAGTTGTTCCAGCACAACTTATTGTGTCCTCTGGGACAATAGAATTGAAAATGCACGTCATACTCTAGAGAGCACATATTGTACATCGTAGCATTTTCCACCCCTAATCCTGGGAAATTCGCCATTTTTCTTACTTCTTCTGTGAAACTCAAAAGTTGTGTTTCTGTGCTCTTTGGATGAAGTGCAAATCAACTTTTAAATTATTCCCTCAGGGCTTATGTTCCTACCTGGCTTCTCCTGGCCTCCAGAGGATTGATTTTTGTAGTTACAGCTCATGCTGCTAGTTAGTTTACTGTTACATCAGGGCAGAAACTGATGCATACCAACATGTACCCAGGATAAAGTCCTCCACTGCGGGTGGTGGAAGAGGCTTCTTCTACCTCCTCCCCATAGTTCCTGAAGGCACCAAGACTGTCACAGTAATTGGTAGGTGGAATGTTGTTATAACATTTACATAAACCATCCTATTTTTGAGACAGTAGGACAGATAATAATGATGGGAATAACTATGTAAAATGCTCAGAGATCAGTGGTAAGAAACAGAAAGCAGCATGTAAGGAAATGTCTTAGGGAACTGTGATGATAGTATAGAGTAGGTTTTAGCTGTGGAGTGGGTGGACAAATTGTTTCTTTTCAGCCTTGGTCTCAATAATTAAAGCATTTTAAAGTCAGGGTTGAGCAGGGCATTGAAGAGACAGCTTCATCATTTTATACTCATAGGATGAATCATTTCTAAGCAAGCTCAGAGAAGGCTGTTTTGATTTATGGGTCTTCAGAGCGTGACAGATTATTAAAATAAACGTCCAAAATTTTGAATCCTTTTACTCCTGGAAGAAAGACAGGAAAACCCCAAGATCTTTAGTTACTTCTTTTTATTTTTATTTTATTTTATTTTTTTATACTTTAAGTTTTAGGGTACATGTGCACATTGTGCAGGTTAGTTACATATGTATACATGTGCCATGCTGGTGCCCTGCACCCACTAACTCGTCATCTAGCATTAGGTATATCTCCCAGTGCTATCCCTCCCCCCTCCCCCCACCCCACCACAGTCCCCAGAGTGTGATATTCCCCTTCCTGTGTCCATGTGATCTCATTGTTCAATTCCCACCTATGAGTGAGAATATGCGGTGTTTGCTTTTTTGTTCTTGCGATAGTTTACTGAGAATGATGATTTCCAGTTTCATCCATGTCCCTACAAAGGATATGAACTCATCATTTTTTGTGGCTGCATAGTATTCTATGGTGTATATGTACCACATTTTCTTAATCCAGTCTATCATTGTTGGACATTTGGGTTGGTTCCAAGTCTTTGCTATTGTGAATAATGCCGCAATAAACATACGTGTGCATGTGTCTTTATAGCAGCATAATTTATAGTCATTTGGGTATATACCCAGTAATGGGATGGCTGGGTCAAATGGTATTTCTAGTTCTAGATCCCTGAGGAATCGCCACACTGACTTCCACAATGGATGAACTAGTTTACAGTCCCACCAACAGTGTAAAAGTGTTCCTATTTCTCCACATCCTCTCCAGCACCTGTTGTTTCCTGACTTTTTAATGATTGCCATTCTAACTGGTGTGAGATGGTATCTCATTGTGGTTTTGATTTGCATTTCTCTGATGGCCAGTGATGATGAGCATTTTTTCATGTGTTTTTTGGCTGCATAAATGTCTTCTTTTGAGAAGTGTCTGTTCATGTCCTTCGCCCACTTTTTGATGGGGTTGTTTGTTTTTTTCTTGTAAATTTGTTTGAGTTCATTGTAGATTCTGGATATTAGCCCTTTGTCAGATGAGTAGGTTGCAAAAATTTTCTCCCATTTTGTAGGTTGCCTGTTCATTCTGATGGTAGTTTCTTTTGCTGTGCAGAAGCTCTTTAGTTTAATTAGATCCCATTTGTCAATTTTGGCTTTTGTTGCCATTGCTTTTGGTGTTTTGGACATGAAGTCCTTGCCCATGCCTATGTCCTGAATGGTAATGCCTAGGTTTTCTTCTAGGGTTTTTATGGTTTTAGGTCTAACGTTTAAATCTTTAATCCATCTTGAATTGATTTTTGTATAAGGTGTAAGGAAGGGATCCAGTTTCAGCTTCCTACATATGGCTAGCCAGTTTTCCCAGCACCATTTATTAAATAGGGAATCCTTTCCCCATTGCTTGTTTTTCTCAGGTTTGTCAAAGATCAGATAGTTGTAGGTACGCGGCATTATTTCTGAGGGCTCTGTTCTGTTCCATTGATCTATATCTCTGTTTTGGTACCAATACCATGCTGTTTTGGTTACTGTAGCCTTGTAGCATAGTTTGAAGTCAGGTAGTGTGATGCCTCCAGCTTTGTTCTTTTGGCTTAGGATTGACTTGGCAATGCGGGCTCTTTTTTGGTTCCATATGAACTTTATAGTTTTTTCCAATTCTGTGAAGAAAGTCATTGGTAGCTTGATGGGGATGGCATTGAATCTGTAAATTACCTTGGGCAGTATGGCCATTTTCACGATATTGATTCTTCCTACCCATGAGCATGAAATGTTCTTCCATTTGTTTGTATCCTCTTTTATTTCCTTGAGCAGTGGTTTGTAGTTCTCCTTGAAGAGGTCCTTCACATCCCTTGTAAGTTGGATTCCTAGGTATTTTATTCTCTTTGAAGCAATTGTGAATGGGAGTTCACTCATGATTTGGCTCTCTGTTTGTCTGTTGTTGGTGTATAAGAATGCTTGTGATTTTTGTACATTGATTTTGTATCCTGAGACTTTGCTGAAGTTGCTTATCAGCTTAAGGAGATTTTGGGCTGAGACAATGGGGTTTTCTAGATATACAATCATGTCGTCTGCAAACAGGGACAATTTGACTTCCTCTTTTCCTAATTGGATACCCTTTATTTCCTTCTCTTGCCTAATTGCCCTGGCCAGAACTTCCAACACTATGTTGAATAGGAGTGGTGAGAGAGGGCATCCCTGTCTTGTGCCAGTTTTCAAAGGGAATGCTTCCAGTTTTTGCCCATTCAGTATGATATTGGCTGTGGGTTTGTCATAGATAGCTCTTATTATTTTGAAATACGTCCCATCAATACCTAATTTCTTGAGAGTTTTTAGCATGAAGGGTTGTTGAATTTTGTCAAAGGCTTTTTCTGCATCTATTGAGATAATCATGTGGTTTTTGTCTTTGGTTCTGTTTATATGCTGGATTACATTTATTGATTTGCGTATACTGAACCAGCCTTGCATCCCAGGGATGAAGCCCCCTTGATCATGGTGGATAAGCTTTTTGATGTGCTGCTGGATTCGGTTTGCCAGTATTTTATTGAGGATTTTTGCCTCAATGTTCATCAAGGATATTGGTCTAAAATTCTCTTTTTTGGTTGTGTCTCTGCCCGGCTTTGGTATCAGAATGATGCTGGCCTCATAAAATGAGTTAGGAAGGATTCCCTCTTTTTCTATTGATTGGAATAGTTTCAGAAGGAATGGTACCAGTTCTTCCTTGTACCTCTGGTAGAATTCGGCTGTGAATCCATCTGGTCCTGGACTCTTTTTGGTTGGTAAGCTATTGATTATTGCCACAATTTCAGCTCCTGTTGTTGGTCTATTCAGAGATTCAACTTCTTCCTGGTTTAGTCTTGGGAGAGTGTATGTGTCGAGGAATTTATCCATTTCTTCTAGATTTTCTAGTTTATTTGCGTAGAGGTGTTTGTAGTATTCTCTGATGGTAGTTTGTATGTCTGTGGGATCGGTGGTGATATCCCCTTTATCATTTTTTATTGTGTCTATTTGATTCTTCTCTCTTTTTTTCTTTATTAGTCTTGCTAGCGGTCTATCAATTTTGTTGATCCTTTCAAAAAACCAGCTCCTGGATTCGTTGATTTTTTGAAGGGTTTTTTGTGTCTCTATTTCCTTCAGTTCTGCTCTGATTTTAGTTATTTCTTGCCTTCTGCTAGCTTTTGAATGTGTTTGCTCTTGCTTTTCTAGTTCTTTTAATTGTGATGTTAGGGTGTCAATTTTGGATCTTTCCTGCTTTCTCTTGTGGGCATTTAGTGCTATAAATTTCCCTCTACACACTGCTTTGAATGCGTCCCAGAGATTCTGGTATGTTGTGTCTTTGTTCTCGTTGGTTTCAAAGAACATCTTTATTTCTGCCTTCATTTCGTTATGTACCCAGTAGTCATTCAGGAGCAGGTTGTTCAGTTTCCATGTAGTTGAGTGGCTTTGAGTGAGATTCTTAATCCTGAGTTCTAGTTTGATTGCACTGTGGTCTGAGAGATAGTTTGTTATAATTTCTGTTCTTTTACATTTGCTGAGGAGAGCTTTACTTCCAACTATGTGGTCAATTTTGGAATAGGCATGGTAGTTACTTCTTATAGTTCTTCAGGATGATCTCTGTGAAGAGGAAGGGAAAGGTGAGGCTTGAAATATTTCATTTCAAAGGGATTAGTGTTAGTAGTAGCAAAAACTTTGAAAATAAATAGAAAAGCAAAAAAGAAACTTAAAAGCAAAGAGACTCTTACTTGAAATAAATGTGGGTGAAATATGTATTTTAACAAAAAGGATTCCAAAAAGCAAAATTAGGAATTATGTAGCAGAGTAGGGAAAGAAGAAATGAATTAATAAAAACAATTAGATGTTGTGGTGTTTAATTTTTGTCAAAGTCTACTGATCTATTTATTCAATAAAAAATCCATGTAATCATCCCATCCATCCATCCATTTAACAAACACATATTGAAGACCATAACATGCTAGGAACTACTTTAGGCAGTAGATATATAAATGAGACATACTCCATGACCTCAAGGAGCTCAGAGTTCCTGTTATATTTTGCAAAATACAAACTGAAAAATTACAATGTAATGAGTTAAAATTTGTACTGGGGGTGTAAACAGTACTATTATGGGAGCCATAAAAATATGACATTTTTATGGAACTTATATATACAAAATTCATACAAAATTTCAGGCATTTTAGAAAACAAGCTTCTGAGAATAGCTGAAGGATTTAAAAATAGTGATACATCAACAATGTAACAGGACTGTGGGTCTGGGAAAAATGTGGGGAGCATTATATGCATTAATCACTACAATACCTGTGAAGTAGGTACTGTTATTATTTCCATTGCACTAATGAGGCACACTGAGGCAGAGGTAAGTGAGTTGCCCAGGATTACACAGCTAGTAAGTGCTTAGCTGTGGTTAGAATGAAGGCACTGAGAAATAAAATAAAAATGAAACCCTTAGCTCCCCAAGCTACTGAATGGACCCTCTCTTGGCCAAGGGCACCCCAGAGTAACCTTAAAAGCTGAGTTTTCATCCATGACAAGATGGGCGGTCAGAGGTGCCTTCTTACATCCCCGCCCTCACTTAACTACCATTAGACTTTCCTACCTAAGTGCTAAATAGAAACCAGCTCTTTTGAAAGACTCCACTGCTGATATCAACAAATCACTGAAGCAGTTCCTCTTTTTTTGTGGTTTTAACATGGCAATTAACCAGCATTCCTTCCTGATAAGAGACCAACTATATGCTACTCATGAAGGGGCATGAAGCACAATTGTGCATGTGCATGGTTGTCCTTTCATAAATATTCAAGATTCCTCCTATAGCTTATTGAGCATATGTATTTGGCCACCTCACTCAGTACATATTCCTTTTGTCACTGTCTCGAAATATTTGTTTCTGGCTCCTGGCCAGAGGCTATATTTCCCAGCCTGTCATAATAGCCACCCTTCAGGCTACAACTCTATGAGAAATAAAGGTCCTCCTTTCCAAATTTATGAACCCCATCATTCTTCAGTTGATAGCACTGACACCCCATATCTAAGTATATTAAAAGAGAAATAAGCTGCAAATATATATAATATATAAATATGTAATATATGTAAATATATGATATATACATATTTATATATAATTTATATTATATATAAAATATATTTTAATATACTTTAATATATTCAAGTAAATTAAAAGAATATATTAATAGTTGTATATAAAATAAGTATTTTAATATACTTTAATGTTAATGTATATACTATATATTTTAATATAATTTAATAACATTAAAGTGTATTATTAAATATAATAATATATTAAAGTATATTAAAAGAGAAATAAGCAGCAAATGATCTTCAAAATAGTCTCATTGAGATCAGCCCTTCTCTTATCCTAATGGTTTCTTCTTGCCTAGTTTACTGTGGGCAACAATGCATACAGAAAATCAATGTAATAACTACATCTTGATATTTTCTGCTACTGGTTTATTTATGACACTCGAGGTCCCTTGGCTACCTATACCCATCTATATGGTGAAGATGCTTCTGTATACTCCTTCCTCACCATCCCACAGAATAAGTGAGCTCCATATCCTAAAAATAGGAAAATTAATTTTCATTCTTTCTAAGTGTTGTATATATCCACAATGGTGATGATATCACTGTTTCTCCCTATTGCTACCCAAATCATTCTTAATTTACCTTTCTGAGAATTTTACTCTCAACCTACTTTTACTTTAACGGAATCATAGGATTTTAGAGGTAGAACATTTCTTAAAATTCTAGTTAAAATCCCTCCTTTTGCTATGAAGAAACTGTCATAGAGGAAGATCTCACGACCTCAACATCACGCAGATTCTTGTTTTCTCCCAAAGCATTGCTTCTCTTGAGAAGATTTCACAGTTCACTCACCGACAGGGAATGCACCTGTACTCCTAGGTATTTCCATAGTCATCCTCTAGGTACTACATCCCTGTAGATTAAGAATGGGAATTTTCTAGATGTTGTTAAAAGAGGAGCAGAAGCTTAGGAGGAGTAGGTGGGTGGATGTAAGATGAAGTAAATCTTCTTAAGGAACTTATCCAACCACTGCTCTAAGAGTAAGGACTGATTTGGAATAGTCATCCCCTCCTCAATGGCAACCTTAGAAAAAAATGCCCTAAGTCAATCTTCATGAGTGGCTTATCTCCCCCAAGAATTTCCCATAAACATAATTGCTTGCTTTGGGTTTTTTTGGTACAATTCCCAGCTTTTCTTGGGGTGTTACAGTGCATACCCAAGTATGTATAGTTTATTTAGCCCAATTTTATTAAGGACGTGGTATGGGCTGGATGAACCTCATTTTAGACACAGAAGATAGGAAAACAATATTTTTAAATTGCCATTGTGGAGTTCAAATTCCAGCTGCCTTTGGTACTATGACAATAGCAACATATGATCCATTGATAAACCCTGGAGTTGCATCTCCTAAATATTTTCTAAACAAATTATTATTCTCTTCAAATAGTTATTGCTGTATTGTTAGTTTAAGCCATATATATATATATATATATATATATATATATATATATATATATATATTCTTGTAATGTTGTCTTACTCTGATTTATTCACATAGCAGCCAGGGTGATATTTCTAAATTGCAAATTGTATTAAGCTATTCTACCGAGTTTTATTGTAAAACATATTGAAAGAAAATTGGAAATCCAATTTTATTATTGTGGGCTACATTACTTGGTCTTTGACTAACTCTTTATTTTGTTCTTATGCTTCTACCAGTTGTGGGTCTTCTACAGTTCTTAGAAAGTCTTTCGTGACACAAGGCCTTTTCATTTACTATTCTCTATTCCTAAAATGCTTTTCTTCAAACTTTCAAAGTTAGAAAAACGTCACCAACTCAGAACCTTTTCTAAAATACTCCATCACACACATACCACTCCCATCATTATTTACTCTACCATTGCCTTTTTATTTCCTGCTTGTCTTTTAGCACTAGTAGCAATTATTTTATTTTACTTATTTATATTTTATTTTATTTTTATTTGTTTACTTGTTTATTGTCTGTCTATATTTTCAGAATGGAAGTTTGATGAGGCAGATATTGAGTGTTCCTTGTTCATTGTTGTGTCTCAGCAGGTAGCATATGGTAGATACTCTCTAAATGTTTGCGGGATAAACAAATGAATAGTTTACAGAAGTGACACAGAAGCTATATATTTAGGAATAGACTTTTTAATATCACATGTAGATAGCTTTGTTTTGACATGTGTTAAATGACAAGTGCTGGACAGAATAAGAATTGTTGCGTCATTTATGGTATTTTAGGTAATGGTTATGTTAATGTAGGGAAACTAGGTGCTTGTTCTTCCTTGAAGTGACATGGTGTAGTGGTGTGTGTGTGTGTGTGTGTGTGTGTGTGTGTGTGTGTGTGTGTTTGTGTGTGTGATGAGTAGTGGCTGAGCATTACTAGCTTTGGGAGTAGGGGGTTTGATTGGCTGCCTGACTATTGGATTGAGATGCTCCAGCAAAATATTTCTTTTCCACTTGACACTTGTGAAGGGTGGAGGACAGAGACACTCATCAAGGAGTGTGGAGGGATGAATCCTTTGTATTTTTGTCCTAAGGAATAAATGTGGTTGATTTTGGTTCTTAATGCAAAGTATATACATCATTAGTTTCTAATTTTATGTCATATGTTGAACACTGAGGTACAAAAGAAAATCTCTTTGACACTTTTTTCTGGTAAAATCACCCTTTCTATTCCATAATACCTGATGTATGTCTGTCTTTTCAAGACATCAACACTCATTCACCCAAATTCTTTCTAGATTAGTGCCATTTTCTACTTCTGTTTTGGTGGAATGGGTATGGAGTAAAGCAGAGGAAGAAGGGGTGATTTGTGTGACGACACTCAGAATCATTGCATCATGTCCCCATAATAATAAAAAAGCATATGATCTTGTAATGGTATTTACTGCTTTAAAATATTCATCTCCTTTCAATAATAAAGGGACAATTATTTACTTAGGAACAAATAATCGCCTCCATCTGGTCAAAAACTACATAGCATAATAGCAAAATATGTAAATGAGCTGAGTAATCATAATATTTCAGATGCTTTTGTTAGAAATTTATTTGATTGTTGGAACCTCATAGTTGACTTATCAGTGAATGTAAATGAGTTAGTATATAACTAGCTCATAGCCCTCATAACTAATAACACAATGTTGTGTTATTAGTTATGAGGGCTATGAGCTGCCTCCTCCAGGTAAGTACAATAAGATCATTGTTTCTTGGAATGTTAGGAAATATTTCATTCTGGATAACCTTATTATCTTTCTTTTGATTAAAATCTTCCTAAACCAAATTTTAAATTTTTCAATCTTATTAAATATGCTTCATTAACTCACTGAGGTCCACACTGGGCAATTTATGGACAAGGGGAAATTGATCCCTTTTCTAAATAGTCCCACACTATTCAATTTCTGAGTATTTTTACCTTTCTTCCGCTTGCTACCAGATTCCTGGAAAACACTGGTTTTATGTGTGTGTGTCTGCTTGTAGTAAGCCATCCCTTTTTCAAAATACAATGCTTCTATAAGATATTGAAAGTCATTTATCTATGTTTGTTAAAATTATGTATAAATTGAGTCAGTAGGTTCCAAAAATGGCGCATTTAATTTCTTTTCTCAGTAGTATACGTAGTGCCCATAAGTGTTTGGACACAGCCACATCTATTTGGTTTTACAGAACCTTAACTTTTTAAAAATTCCTTTTCATATTTAATTTTTTTAAGTAATAGGAGAGGCAATATCATAAAATATCACATCAACAGAAAAGAAACAACTCTCTTGTATTTGCTGTTGGTTACAACAAAACTTACTTTGGTGTGGCAGTTTTTAACCTTACTTAAAGAAAAGCATATTTGGTAATGTGAACTGTTATTTCATTTTTATTTGACAAGTTTTGTGCTACTTAGTGGTGTCAGATTCAATACAGGGCAGTAAGCAAAATTTTAAAAATAATATTATTCCCATTGTCACCTTGAAACAGCAGAGCAGATCAGCTCAGAATCAAATTGGGTAGCAAGCATACTCATTTCTCAGATCAGTACACCTACTTACGTTCCTGCTGTGGTGAGCAAATTTTATACTCAATGTAGTATCAGGTATTGATGAATCTGGTCACAGCTAGAAGAATTTTTTATATAGGGCCTTGCATAGCTGTATGTTGTGGCTGGTTACCTGTTACCAAGGATTAAGCTGTACAGGTTTTGGTTACAGTTATGGAAAAATATGTCCCTTCACTACTTATGAAGCCTTGGGATCTCTTTTCTGTATCACAACTAAAGTACTGCTAGATCTGTGTGTGTGCTATTAGAATGCAAGCCTAAGTTTCCAGGTTGGCAAGATTTCCCAACAAAAAAAAAGATATAGAAAAAAGAGGCCACATCTCTGATTGCCAGTCTAAAATTTGGCTACACTCAGAAGTAGCTTCACATATTGCTTACTAATGTAGATGTTTGGGGGAAGAAGTAGTGCATTGCCAAATTTCAGAAAAAGTAAGTTTTTAACATTAACAAGCTGAGATTTGAGTTTCAAATATATGCCACACTTCATATAGTTTTAATGTTTCCAATTTATAACTTCATCACATACTCTCTCCCTCTTGGTTTATCAGATATAAAATGGGCAACCAAATGTATCCTCGTGTAATCTGTTAGTGACAGGGAACGTATGACAATTTTGAAAGCAGTGATATAACTCTAGGTAAATGCTATGTCTACTAATTATAGTTTCTTAATTTTCATAGCTATATTATGAAAAGAGTAAATTGAAGAAATGGAAACTGCAAATTACACCAAGGTGACAGAATTTGTTCTCACTGGCCTATCCCAGACTCCAGAGGTCCAACTAGTCCTATTTGTTATATTTCTATCCTTCTATTTGTTCATCCTACCAGGAAATATCCTTATCATTTGCACCATCAGTCTAGACCCTCATCTGACCTCTCCTATGTATTTCCTGTTGGCTAATCTGGCCTTCCTTGATATTTGGTACTCTTCCATTACAGCCCCTGAAATGCTCATAGACTTCTTTGTGGAGAGGAAGATAATTTCTTTTGATGGATGCATTGCACAGCTCTTCTTCTTACACTTTGCTGGGGCTTCGGAGATGTTCTTGCTCACAGTGATGGCCTTTGACCTCTACACTGCTATCTGCCGACCCCTCCACTATGCTACCATCATGAATCAACGTCTCTGCTGTATCCTGGTGGCTCTCTCCTGGAGGGGGGGCTTCATTCATTCTATCATACAGGTGGCTCTCATTGTTCGACTTCCTTTCTGTGGGCCCAATGAGTTAGACAGTTACTTCTGTGACATCACACAGGTTGTCCGGATTGCCTGTGCCAACACCTTCCCAGAGGAGTTAGTGATGATCTGTAGTAGTGGTCTGATCTCTGTGGTGTGTTTGATTGCTCTGTTAATGTCCTATGCCTTCCTTCTGGCCTTGCTCAAGAAACTTTCAGGCTCAGGTGAGAATACCAACAGGGCCATGTCCACCTGCTATTCCCACATTACCATTGTGGTGCTAATGTTTGGGCCATCCATCTACATTTATGCTCGCCCATTTGACTCGTTTTCCCTAGATAAAGTGGTGTCTGTGTTCAATACTTTAATATTCCCTTTACGTAATCCCATTATTTACACATTGAGAAACAAGGAAGTAAAGGCAGCCATGAGGAAGTTGGTCACCAAATATATTTTGTGTAAAGAGAAGTGAAAGATAAATTATACATTTTATAGTTCCCCTGAGGATCATTGTCCTAAAGCAGGAAGTATTTGCAGTAATAATGCTGCATTGACTTCCTCCTTTCATTTGTGTTATTAAAATTTTACTATAATTTTTCTCTATTCATTCCTCTTTATATTGAAAAAATAGAGGCATTAAGATGAAAATAAATTTACTCACACCTACCCTGAAATTCCCAACAGATCATTATTAGAATTTGAGATATAATAATCTGCTAAAGTACATTTTAACTAATTGTTTATTGAGTACTCTGCAGAGGCTCTGGCTTTGACGGGAACATGTTGAGAAAAATAAATAAGACATGGAGACGTGTCCATTACAAATATGAAGTAAATGGCAAGCATATGGATGCAGCTAGCTTCAAGTTAGCAAATAAATATTTTTGTCATGTTTCAGTGTTGGCTCAGTGGAATGGTATCTGGTCAACATCTTGCTGGGTCTGGAAAAACAGATTATTTGTCCTTTATCTCCTCTTATTTCCAGAGTTGATGGAAAATGAGGATTTTCCATCAACTTATAAACTGAAATACCTTATAAAGGTATTTCAGTTTATATTTCAGGTGGTGTCTATTCAACAGTTTGGAGACAGAACTCAAAATTTTATCACATTATGAAAACAATTTTTATGAATTCAAAGCAGAGTATAATTTGGCTGATACATGAGATTCATGTCATTCCAGATGAAGCCTCCAGGCAACTAGCAATTTTTGTAGCCAGTCCCTACTTACATCCTTCAGAGTGAAAGCAGCCTTGGGGAGAAAGCTTCTAGGTTGACTGGGATTGGTAGACATCTAGCCGTGTAATTTTTTTCTAAACTATCATCTCCTTTGCCACTTTTGTATGTTTTCCATAATTGCTAATTCTGCCTCTCATGTTAAACTTAAATTGGTAGAGTGCTGTTTTCGTTAGTGCTTAATTCAGAGTTCTTTCCCATTGACAGACCTAGACGTATTGGTTCCCATGATCCCTTAGAGAATTATTAGGGACTGATTTCCTATTCTCAAGCACTAAAAACTCACTCTCCAAGCTTCAGAATGTAAGAGGTAGATTAGAACATTTGATTTTATAGGTTATGTTTTTTACTTAAATTTATTAGTTTTTAATTTCAAAACTAGGGAATCTTTTCATTGAAGGGCAAGAATGCATTGGGTATATTAATCTTTAGTCTTCTTTTTTAAATTTGATAATGTAATATGGACTAAATTTTAAGTGAATTAGATCCTTGTCAACATTGGGAATGAATATATAGAAACAAATGGTATAACTATTCCTAGAGTTACTATTTATTTACAGAGATATTATTTATTAATTGAGGAGGTAATTTGTGCCAGACCCAGTGTATCTCAGATGCACAGGATGGAATGGTGGTACACAAAGCTTGTTTTTTGCTTTGGGAATTTTTCCTTATGGTGACCTTCTTCGATCTTCAATGCTATGTTGCTTCTCTTCTAGGAACCCAAAGGCACAGATTGACGTTATAAGTCCTGATTTTTGACTTGACTTCTCATCACCTGGAAGTGAATAAAGCAGTAGACTTCTCTAACATTTTGTAACACAGCATGAAAAAATATAGAGTACAAAAGATATATATATATAATATGATAAAATGATGAGTTACGTTTCTAAATCTTTTATCATCTTACTGTCATTTCTCTATATTTGGTCTAGCCAGACTTCTATTCATTTTGTCACTTATCTTTCATCAAACTAGGGCTGATGCTCTTGGGAAAGGGACCACTGATTTGATATGCTCTTCAAACACCAGCACACTGTACTATATAGAAAGATATTCACTGAAAATACTGAAGCTAGTAATACAAAGGAAAAAGGCATAAAAATAGTGTGATAACTAATTGCTTACTTAAGAATATTATCTGAAATTAGAAACTAATATCAATGAAGAAAAGGGGAACTTTTGGCAAACTCTAGTAAGTAATAACTGAGCCTGATTCATGGAGGCCATAATTGGAATAAGGACTGAGAGCAATTTCACCCCTTGGAGGACATTTGGAAGTGCCCAGAGACATTTTTGGTGGTCACAACTGAGGACATATATTGGCATCTTGTACTGTTTAGACATCTTACAATGCACAGGACAGCCCCCAGCCCCTGACTCCCACATGGATTATCTGGCCCAAAATGTCAATAGTGCCAAGAATAAAGAACTCCATCAGGTTGAGAAACTCTGACTTAAATAATGGGCAGGGATAAGGCAGGTTAGTGTAGAAGAAATAGGTGTTAACCTCATATGCAATCTTGTCTCATTGAATATTGTTTCCAAATAGCTCAGGATCCTCAGCAGTCAAATACAAAATATGATTCAGGACTCCTTTTCCCTATATAACTCCTATATTTTCTTTCAGTTACTTTTAAATGTCTTTTAATCTCTTTTTTTTTCTTTCAGTCTCTCCTACTCCTCTTTCTTTCAAAACTGCTGCTGAGCTACTATGTTTAAAATCAGCAATATCTCGGTTGAGTATATTATCTTTAGCTCAGTATTGTGATTATACTTTCAATTATACACTGACTTGTGTGAGACTTTAGAACCCAAGTCCCATTCATCTTCTGGCTTTTTGCTAATCTCAATATTAACCAGAACTTTATTATTATATCTGGTTAAAAGAGAGCTTTATTGCTCAAACAAAATTAAAGTTCTTCTGTTTTTTTAATTACTAAAATAATATATATTCATTAAAAGTTAAAAACATATGAATATATAAAGAACAAGACAAGTATCACTGGCAATCTCTTTTCTCAGGGATTTTCTTTAACAAAGTTTATAAAGTCTCACCCCTCCAACTCCATTGGAAGCAGACCAGTTGGCCTATCATGCATTGTTCCAAAATATAATTACCATTAAATAGAGGTCCAGGTGAAGACAAGCTACAACATGCTTACATAAATAAGTATAACCCTCAGATTTTATATCCCACAAAACTGGCATTTAAATAAGCAGGCCACAAAGTTTTAAATATGCAACAAAAATCTGTGAATGTTGTTTTTAAGACCTCTTTGATGAAATTATCAGAGAACAAATTACAGTCAAACATGTGACTAGGACAAAAGGCTGGGTTTCTGACACACACACACACACACACATATATATACATATATATACACACACACACACACACACACATATATATATATATATATATATATATATATATATATATATACACACAGTAGTCCTCTTTTATCCATAGGAGATATGTTCCAAGACACCTGTGGATGCCTGAAACCATGGATAGTACCAAATCCTATATATACCATGTTTTTCTTATACATATATGCCTATGATAAAGTTTAATTCATAAATTAGACACAGTAACAGATTTATAACAACCAATAATAGAATAGAACAATTACAACAATATGCCAACATTACTACTCTTGCACTTTGGGGCCATTATTAAATAGAATAAGGATTACTTGAACACAAGCACTGTGATGCTGTGTCTAACTGATAACCAAGTTGGCTACTAAGTGATAACGTGCAGGTGGCATGTATAACATGGATACACTGGACAAAGGGATGACTCATGTCCCTGGAAGGATGGAGAAGGACAGCTTGAGATTTCATCCTGCTACTTAGAATGGGGCATAATTTAAAGCTTATGAATTGTTTGCTGCTGGAATGTTCCATTTAACATTTTTTGGACTGAAGTTGACCATGGACAACAGAAACTACAGAAAGCAACACTGGGTAAGAGGGGGCTACTGTATTTAATCTAGTATTAGGCTTATTAAACTATAAAGACAACTAAGCAGACGTTGAAAACGGAGATCGTCTTCAAGGGAAAGGCAGTCAGGATAATATCTCACTGGTTTCCTTCCTTCCTTCTTTCCTTTTTTTTTCCTTTTTTTTTTTTTTTTAAGCAGAGTCTCACTCTGTGTCCCAGGCTCCAGGGCAGTGGCTCGATCTCGGTTCACTAAAGTCTTCGCCTCCCGGGTTCAAGCAGTTCTCCTGCTTCAGCTTCTTGAGTAGCTGGGATTACAGGTCCATGCCACCATGCTCGAGTAATTTTTGTATATTTAGTACAGAAGGGGTTTTGCTATGTTGGCCAGGATGGTTTTGAACTCCCGGCCTCAAATGATCCACCTGCCTCGGCCTCCCAAAGTGCTGGGACAGGCATGAGCCACGGGACCCGGCTGATCTCTTTTCTTTAACAACAAAAAAGTAAACCAGTGAAGAGTTATATTATGACAAGAGAAAAGAGTTTTTATCTCAGTGAAAATATAATCAAATAAGAGCATCTTCAGAGCTGGATTATACTCCTAAATGTAGTAACTAGAAATATAAAGTATCTAGAAGAAAACACAGAATAATATATTTGCTTACACAATTGGAATAAGCAATGATATCTTAAGCAGCACAAAAGCAGGTGTAATAATAAAAAGTGATCAAATGAACCTCAAAAAATTAAAAATTACTGCTCGTCAAGATACACTATCATCAAATTATTAAGGAAATCATACACTGGGAGGAAAATTTGGTCTCTCTTAATCTCCCTGTTTCTCTCTGTCTTCAAGTAAAGAAAAATCAGCAAAAAATTTGAACAGACACTCCAGAAAAGAAGATACAGAAGTGATCAGCAAGTTCACGAAAAGATGCACGTCATTACTCAGCAGGGAATGGTCCACAACACACGATCAAGTGTTCAGGCAGAGCGCTCTCCCACTACTCTGAGGAACAGAACAAAATAGCAGAGAAGGAAAAGAGGAAGGGGTTTATCAAGTGCCCCAGGAACATATAACATACTGGAGACTAGACACGTCCATAAAAATGACTCAGTTTCCCCATTGCTTGTTAGTGCTGCCTGGTCAGTGGGCCAGATTCATCCATGGCACTAGGAAGGCAGTCAGTTCTCATCCCCTTCGGACGAATCTTTCTAGAAACTGATATAGCCAATTACCAATACATCCTCACCCTCACGTGCTCTCTCCTGGACTCCGGATGCTCTACCAACATGAAGAAATATATTGAGTGCCTCCAGGTGCTCAGTCCCAGGCACTTGACACTCTAGACTATGCAGCAGCGCTGGGAGGACTCAGCTTTCCGAGCTCCACAATTTTATGTTGGGAGCCTGTGGCAACTACTGACAAAAACAATGTAGCTGCCATCAAGATGTAGTTCTTGTCTGCTGCACTGTTTTAAAGGTGCCCGGTATTTATTTTAATCTGGAATGGTAAGACACACTGTCATGGAAATGACTGTCATGAAGGAAGAAGTTTTTAGACTCACAAATCCCTAGAAATAAGAGGTTGGTTAGGTGAGTGGGGAAATGAGAAAAATGTGGGTAAGAGCCTTTATCATGGTTTCTCTGGAAATAAATGGATGGGGCAGGATAAGCAGGTTTAGGATTGGCTAGATTGAATAATTCCAGTGGGCTCTGGAGGATAGGGGCTGTCTCTAAGTGTCTGGCACTTGGCCCTGGGGTGATTAGGGAAGGCAAATAGTGGCCTGGAGTGTAATAGCGCTATAGGTGCCTGATAAAAGAAGTGGCTGGAGTGTGGTTTCTAGATTGGTTGCAAGTGAGGCTTTTACCATCTCTAGGAATTGGCTAGCCATAAGAGGGATAGTTCCTCCAGTGTTAGGAAGGCACAAGACATCAAAGCATTAGAAATGCAGAAAATATAATGGCATAAGTAAAACACAACACCAAATGTTGGTGAATTAATTGTTGGAGTAACTTGAACTCTCATACATTGATGTTGGGAATTTACAATGGCTAACCACTCTGAAAAACTTAATAGAAACTTCAGGTAATTTCAGGTAGATGTAAACAAACAGCTACCTTATGACCTGATAATCCCATTCGTGTTTAGCTAAGACATGTCTATGAAATGATTTAAATTCGCATGCTAATGAAAACCTTATTGGTGGCCTAAGATTTGAAACAACCCAAATGTCCATAAAAGGATAAAATGATAATAAACAAACTTAGGGTTAAGTATATAATGAAACATTAGTCCGCAGTAAAAAGAAACAACTACAGAAAATGCAACAATACGCATGAATCTCTAAATCGTAATGCTGAGTTTAAAAGCCAGATACAAAATAACACATGTCATATGCTTCTGTTTTTATAAAATCCAAGAAAAGGTAAAACTAATCTATGCTATTAGGAATTAAAAGATGAAAGCTCATTATGATGTTAGATGGTGGGGGTGGATGGCAAAGATCACAAGAAACCTTTCTGGAGTGACGGAAATATTCTTTATCTTGTTTAGAATACTAGTTTCTAAAGTGCATATATTTAACACAAGTTACTACGTTGAACACTTAAATGTGTGTATTTTAATGTATATACATTGTATTCTAAGAAATACAACCAAGAATTTATTTTCATGCTTGCTTGTAAATACAGATAAATTTCTTGAAGGATACAAAAATTAATATTAGCTTCCAGTTTTGAGGTATGGGGTGAAATGGACATATAGGGGACAGATATAAGAAGGAAATTTCTCACTGTATGAATTATTTTTTTATTTAAAAATGTAAATATATTACCTATTCAAAAATTAAATACATTTTTTAAGTCAAGTATATTTAAAGTACACTGCCTAATTTCCAACCTTATGGTAATGCCATTAAAAATTCTGAGTTATTCTTGCTTCCATACCTCTCATATGCAGTCCTTCAATAAGTCCCATTGATTATCTCTCCAAAGTTTATCTTTGGTATAAATTCTTCTGTCTTCTTTTTTACCTCTTATCCTAACCTACCAACATCTCTTATTTATATTAATAGTTCTTCAAATGCTCCCTACTGTTCCCCTTGCCTCCACTTCTTGCATTTTATAGCCCGTTTTTCACTTAGTACCTGGCACAACATTTTAAACATGTAAATCAGGTAGGAACACTCCTCTGCCTGTTACATCTCACACATAGTATGTTGACCGATTGCCATTTGGCCCATATCGGCTCTACCTCTCTATCTTCCCTTACAATTTTTTCCATTTGCTCACTACTGTCTTGCCACACTAGCCTCCTTTCTGCTTCTCAATGCACCAGTCTCTCCCTTAATGAGCTTTCAACAAGTCTATCTTCAGATCTTCCCAGAGACGGTGTAGTTCTGTCATTCAGATCTTAGTTGAAATGTTGCCACCTTGTCAGAAAGGCCCTCCCTGGCCAGCTCACTTGGAATAGTAGTCTCTTCCGCTTTCTCTTATATTTTTATCATAGTGCTCATTACAATCAGTTGTTTTCTCTCTGGTATGTTTGTTTGTTGTCTGTTTCCATGCTTTAGGATGTAAAATCCCCAGGAACAGGGATATTTTCTGTCTTGTTCGGTGCTGCATTGCAGACACTACAATACAGCCTGGTACATGGTTTTAGTTTCTAAGATAGTCTAGGGAGACAAATCTTTCCTAGCAGGAATAACAAGCCTTCATTCTAAGGATTAATTTAGATCATTAGACTATCTTCACTTTAAGTATTGTGGAAAACATTAGGAAGCAAAGTCCCTAATTATGTCTACAATTATGAAAAAATCATATTTTAAAAAATCTTTGGTAGCAAGAAAGACTATAATATACTCAAAAATGGGAATGTTTTTCCATGTGTTTCTTTACTTATATCACTTCTTTTCTGTTTCTTTTAAGAAAGTAAACACTACACTTTTTAGTTTATTTGGTGTATATAGTTTTACAAAATATGAATTTTTGTGCCTGGCTTTTTATTTCCTATTATTCCATTACTGTCTTTGCATTTGTTCCTGTTCTTGCATTTCTCCCCCCCGGTTTTTTTACCTTTATGATTTTGTGTATCTCTTTCTCCCTTTTTCTCTTTTCCCCATGTTCCATTTTTCCCACTTATTATTTTCTGAATTGGACATAAATTAGAACAAAATATTATTGATTATGCATTATATTTGTTGAAAAACTGTTTAGTATATTAATTTTTAAAATAAAAAATCTTTTTAAAATAAAAATAAATCTACTGAAATTTAATTATATTGTGTTCTACTATGTGATTCTTAATTACTTTTCTTCTGTCTAGTAATATTTACTTAAAAAAATAGTTGTCTTTGCTTTAGTGGAACATAGGAGACACTTATTCCTAAAATGAAAACAACAAAGGCCAAGACCACAATAGGGTGTATTTAAGAATACATCTCTTTGTGAGGAATTAGTCCTTCAATATGCAGTTCTCGTCTCCAAGAAGGATTATGCCAAAGAGTCTTTGTGAACATCATTTATTTTTCTTTGCCTATTTCTTTGTCATCAGAAATATGTTGAATTTACCATACTACCTACCTGACCACATTACTTCTTTTCTTGATCTATCAATGATTTCCTATTATACACTTTTTTAAAAAAAAAAAGTAACGTAAGAAATAAAATAACCTCTTTTGGCTTTCTGCCCACATGGACCTAGTAAACATGCTGACTATTCTGTAATATGTGTCACTGATAGAATGTTGATTTTAAAACTTAGAAGTGACATAGTGACTTTTAAATCATATATACTTCACTATTTATATATAACATGTTTCTAGTCTCATTCTTTGACTATATTTTGTTGGCATTTTAACAATTCCCTTTGAAAGTGTTTGCAGCTTTGTTAGCCTTCAAATTCCCAAAGTACATTCTCCATTGCATCACAAATTGGTTGCATAAGAGATTCCTCTGTGAGAAGAGATATTTAACAATGAAGTCAGGAAAAATTAGTTATTGTTCCTTCTATTAGAAGGAGGTGATATCTGCTGTTTGACAGGAGCATTAGATTACTAGAGAGGTAAATGTTTTTCCATTCTCCATATTTATAAGGAACATAAGGAAGAAATGGAAACATATTGTAACACCTCAGGTGGGACATCTGCTGCCTTGAAATGCAAAGATCAGAATTATAGTGATTATATAGGTTATGGGTTTCAAACTAGAAATAGATTAATATGTTTAATCTGAATTCAGTAATACAGTAGCACCTTTTACCTGGTCTTAATAATATAGCCCCAGTTTCTCCTAATATTTAGAATTAATTTATTGGGAATATATAAAGCCTTTATTAACATTGCCTTGGGAATGTTTATACTTGGTCCTAAACCTATAGCTATTAACTGAAAGACGTGAGGGAACAGAAGTCATATCCAATGCAGAAATGCTAGGCTGCAGAAGAAATCTTCACCAACTTCACGATTTTGCAGGAGACTAGCTCTGTCTAGTTCCCACACCTGCTGGGATGAGAGGTTCTTTTACAAAGAGTCTTACCATATACCAATCTGGGGCTTTGACAGCTGGCTGAAATGAAGCCTTCATAAATTCTTTTCTAGTAATTTCTTACATTAACATAGCTACCTTTACCCCAGCAACTCATTTCAAAGGCAGGGACAGAGGATCTATATTATATATTTACTTCTTAGAAACTAAAGCCCCTCTTAATATCTACATTTTTTCCTTGTTTAGTTTTGGTTTAGTCAGACTTCAATATGCTACTTATTGCTATCATTCTCATATTATATTCATAAATCAACACAGTGAGATAAAATAACTCAGGCTAAAGAAGATGACCTTCCCAAGATCTCACGGTTAAAAAAATTGCACAATGAAGAACTTAAACCCAGATAGATGCCCAAACGAGGGCTTTTTAAATGACATCCATTACTTTGCCTAGAAATCATGGCATTATAAACATTGGTATCAGTTAATGATTTGATGATACTCTAACTTTATCCACATTTCTCAGAACACACAAAAAATTAGTGATTATATAGGTTATGGGTTACAAACTAGATAGCACATATTAATAGACATCACATTCTTATTCTTATTTTGGGAACATTTCTAAAATGTGTTTTTGCTGGTAGGGTGGATTAATGAGAAATTTCTTTCAAGCAGAAAGGTGAATAGTGCCACTTTTATTAAGATCAGTTATAAACAGACAAAATATTTGAGGTAATGGGAAATAATTTAAAAGTATTTACACAGTATATTTTAAGTAGGATACTATTCAAGGAAAGTAATTTAGTACTGAAAGATGGGTTAGGTATTTTTAACCCTTACAAAAATTGGAGTGAAGAAACTTCATGTGCTGTCCTTACTACTGTTTCAAAAGAAAACAATAGTGATGCTTCTCAGAATTAATGGGAAGGCAAACATGAGATCTAATAAAGGAGAAATGAATAGAGAAGAAGAGAGTGGAAAAATATTGGAAACTGCAAGAACATTGAGAAGTAAAAACAACAAAGGAGAAAAAATAGAAGAGATAAGAGAAAAGCAAGGGGAATCATTAGAGAACAAATACGAGAGAGAAAGAGAAGATAAAATAGAGAAAGAGAAACCAACTTAAGTAAAAGTATAACTTAAAAAATGAAGTGTAGAAATATTTAGCGAGATGGGAGGGGAAGATAATAAAATAAATATTTTAAAAGGAGGCATGAGGAAATATAAAGAAAAATGAGTGAATTAGTGCCTGTGGATGGGAATCAAATCTCCAAATACCTGCTCCATGAACTTTCTAACAAGAGCCTGGACTCTAAACGTGAACAGTGCATAGCGCAGCCTTTATCTGGAATGTGTGTGTGCCCCCACCCATCACTCTTTCCTCTTCTGTGCTGCTCCAGCATTGTCAGGAACAGATGAAATTTTGTTTCTGTTGAAATTGAAATATAGGATAGAGGGAGTGGCAGTCATTCAGATTTCTATTTCAGCTTCCACTGACAGTGATCCTTCTAACATTGTTATGTTCTTCTAATATAGTTAGACAAGACCAAGCTTGTCTTTGCAGGAATTTCTGTGCTTTTATTTTGCTAGGACTTACTTCATTTTACCTAGAGGAATGTCCACCTTATGAATATATATATTTGGTTTCTGGATCCATAATGAGCATGATGTGAGCACTATCCATATAACAAAAGAGCTTAGAGGGAAGCACACAAAGGGAACACAGTGAATCAAAGATATTTGATGGTAGAGGGTTCCAGATGTTACAGAGTCAGTAGGAGAACAGAAGTGGATAACAGGGAATAAAATGCAAGGTACAGTGCAAGAACCTGAAACTCCCAATCTCAGAGATACTTGAAAGTTTCTCCTATGACCCAAATACATCCTCAATTTTTGAAAGAGTATGAAATAACCAACTGCATAATAACATGCAAGATGTACACAACTTAAGAGTAAGCAGAGAGGGATTCCCGACTTTTCTATTAGCAGGTTTTATATGCACAGAAAGACTGATAAATATTAAGGTCAATAAATGGCCAAGTGCCAAAAAAAAAAAAAAAGAAAAGAAGGGTATGATATGTAAAATTTTATGCTTCTGTTTTGGTTAGGATACGTGTGTTTGCGTGTATTTATTTGTGTCTGTGTGATGTACATACATGTGATGTAAGATACTTTTTT
This sequence comes from Homo sapiens, assembly GCF_000001405.40. Lineage (NCBI taxonomy): Eukaryota > Metazoa > Chordata > Mammalia > Primates > Hominidae > Homo > Homo sapiens. The sequence goes on from NT_187602.1 coordinate 415,488, forward strand.
TTGTTTGAGACAGAGTCTTGCTCTGTCACCCAGGCTGGAGTGCAGTGGTACAATATGGACTCACTGCAACCTCCACCTCCCAGGTTCAAGCGACTCTCATGCTTCAGCCTCTGAAGTAGCTGGGACTACAGGCTCCTGCCACCACGCCCAGCTAATTTTTATATTTTTAGTAGAGTCAGGGTTTTGCCAGGCTGGTCTCGAACTCTTGGCCTCAAGTGATCCACCTGCTTTGGCCTCCAAAAAGGGTGGGATTACAGGTGTGGGCCACAGTGCCTGGCCTAGGTACTTCTTTCATAATTCCCAATTCTGACCATACCTGAAAACCTCTGCTATTAATTAATATATTAGGATTAGATATATTTTGAAAAGCATATCTTTTGATGTTTTAAATAGATGTGCCATTATAAATATTTTCTTTGATTTCTTAATTCGGGACTTTATTGTTTTTGTTTCCCTCTCTTCTTACACACCGACTCCTCATTCAGTTAGTTAATGAACCTCTTTCCCTCTACGCTTCATAGTCCACATTATTTTAAAACAAATGTGCTGTGTAACAGAAGCATATGAAATATTTTTCTGTATCACATTGTAGTATTTTGTTCTAGCTCAAGATCTTTAGCTTTTAAATTTTTTTATTTCAACCACAAACCATTTTTTGAACATGCACCAAAAACATACGTATCTTCTTTATGCATTTCATATCCAATTACATCATGATTCTATATAAATGTAAAATGTTCAAAAATAAAACTTCAAACAATAGGATACAATAATGTAAGTGTAGAAATTCTCCTATTATTGCTTTCATACCAATAAATTATCATGCACATCCCCAAGCATGAGCACAGTCTCAATTTGGAAGCCACTGTACAGAGAAGCCTCAGATCTTGTTTTCTCCAGAGTGACTGAGAGCTTTTTATTTAGACCAGTTCATTTGGTTGATGTTCTATAGAGAAAAGGGAATTATTTCTGGTAAGTACAGTTGCCTTTATAAAAGTTTTTAGATAAACATTCCTAAGGTAGCATTTATATAAAATAAATTGTACTAATTGCTGTATAGTTCAATACTCAATAAATTTTGACAAAAATAGATACATATAACCATTATAATTAAAAACGGAACATTTCTGTCCCCTTGAAAAGTTCTGTCATTCTTCTTTGCTGTCAATCCCAGCTCATCTTCCATTCAAAGCAAAACATGAAGACCTCAATAACTGGGGTTAAGTTTTTTCTCAGTCAGAAAAATTTTCATATGCCTCATACAAATCAGGAACAAATTCAGAGCAGTAACATCCAAGTCTCACATGAGTGAACACTTAAACAGAAGCACAGGACTGAAACAGAAGAAAGAGTGTGGCTTCAGGACCAGGGTGTTGGCTATCATGAAATGAGGAAGCATAAACAGTAGAAGTGATTTCTTAGGTTGTTGAGATAGATAGAATAATATAAATGTGGCATACCTTGTGTTTAGTTCAAGAACTATAATCTAGATGTAACACCTGAAAATAAACTCTTTTATTGATATTCTACAGGCAGAAGAAATGAAGATAGCAAACAACACAGTAGTGACAGAATTTATCCTCCTTGGTCTGACTCAGTCTCAAGATATTCAGCTCTTGGTCTTTGTGCTGATCTTAATTTTCTACCTTATCATCCTCCCTGGAAATTTTCTCATTATTTTCACCATAAGGTCAGACCCTGGGCTCACAGCCCCCCTCTATTTCTTTCTGGGCAACTTGGCCTTCCTGGATGCATCCTACTCCTTCATTGTGGCTCCCAGGATGTTGGTGGACTTCTTCTCTGAGAAGAAGGTAATCTCCTACAGAGGCTGCATCACTCAGCTCTTTTTCTTGCACTTCCTTGGAGGAGGGGAGGGATTACTCCTTGTTGTGATGGCCTTTGACCGCTACATCGCCATCTGCCGGCCTCTGCACTGTTCAACTGTCATGAACCCTAGAGCCTGCTATGCAATGATGTTGGCTCTGTGGCTTGGGGGTTTTGTCCACTCCATTATCCAGGTGGTCCTCATCCTCCGCTTGCCTTTTTGTGGCCCAAACCAGCTGGACAACTTCTTCTGTGATGTCCGACAGGTCATCAAGCTGGCTTGCACCGACATGTTTGTGGTGGAGCTTCTGATGGTCTTCAACAGTGGCCTGATGACACTCCTGTGCTTTCTGGGGCTTCTGGCTTCCTATGCAGTCATCCTCTGCCATGTTCGTAGGGCAGCTTCTGAAGGGAAGAACAAGGCCATGTCCATGTGCACCACTCGTGTCATTATTATACTTCTTATGTTTGGACCTGCTATCTTCATCTACATGTGCCCTTTCAGGGCCTTACCAGCTGACAAGATGGTTTCTCTCTTTCACACAGTGATCTTTCCATTGATGAATCCTATGATTTATACCCTTCGCAACCAGGAAGTGAAAACTTCCATGAAGAGGTTATTGAGTCGACATGTAGTCTGTCAAGTGGATTTTATAATAAGAAACTGAGAAGGAGGAATTCTGGCTGGAATTCATATCATTCATTTAACAAGTCCTGTTTTTCACTGAGTACCTCCCATTTGCCAGGTACCATTGTAGGCAATGGAGGAGAGTTATGCATAATGAGAGAATAAACTTATTATATTTAAAGAATATAAAGGAAACCCCAGAGTGGTTGAAGTATAATGAGTAAGTGTGAGAAATTTAAGGGTTAAGTTTTATGTGACTGCAAGGGTCTTTCAGTCTGAGGTAAGAATTTTTTCATATTTTAATTGTGGTAAGAACCCATTTTAATGTTTTAAGCAAAGGAGCAGTTCATCTACAATGCTTTCCTCTACTGGTTAGAGCAACATCAGCAAGATTTTAGGCAGAGATTAATAAACTGTAAAATATCAAAAACCAAATGTATGTTGCAAGTATGTTATGAAAAAGACTATAGTATTTTATATATATAAATATATTAAAATTATATATATTTTAATGTTTTTATATATATTTTATATATATGTATATTTACATATATATAAAATAAGTAATATATTTTTATATATTTATAAATATATATTTTTATATATTTATAAATATATATTTTTATATATTTAATCAATATATAAATAAATATATATTTCCCCCCCAAAATTTGGTGGTGAGATAAGAAAGGAAGCCAATTTGTTTCATGGTAAAATGTCATGAAATTATTCCACTTATTTTTTCTTCAGAGCTTCACGATGATTATTAGACATTATTAGATATTTAGTACTTCAGATTGTATTATAGATTACATAAATCACTCCAGTTATTTTCAACATAGTGAAGCAGCTTCGTTGTCTGGGGAAATACCTGCAGTTCGTTGTCTTGTGCTGTGCCGATTAATGACACAGACTCACACACGGAGTGGGTTAAGGAACAGAAAGTTTATTAGGCAAGAAGGAAGAGAAGAGCTTCCCCATACAGAGGGAGAAGGACTCTGAATGGAGTAACCCCACTTGTGGGGAAAGCAGTCAGTTATATTGGGAGGCTCAGGGAGGTAGTGTCTGATTTGCATAGGGCCCAGGGGATTCCTTTGACCAGGTGTGTCATTCACACAACCCATGAAAAGACTGGCCCTCCCACCCTAATCTTTTATTCTGCAAATGCGGCTTCTACCTGGCTGTCGCCATGATGCCTGCACATGTGGCTTTACTTGGCTGGTGCCATGACAACTGCACATGTGGCAACAAAGGAAAGTGAGCGGGAACAGTCATATTGAGTGGACCTGGCTCTTAGCCACCTGCATTTACTTCTCCAAGCCTGTAATTTACATACCTATGCTTCCAGCATGGCTTTTCAGGCTGCTTTCTGTTAGAAAAGAAATGGTTTGGGGGCTGCTTTTTTATTAAAAGGAAAAGCCTTTCTGAGGACTCTTTTACCCTTTCTAGCTGCCTAAAAATAATTTCTTAATAACTCCTGTATTAATAGTGGGGTCTAATGTGAGAAATTAGGTACTTATAAAATTTTTCAAGTATAGAAGACCATTATTTATGCTGGGCATCTATTATAGAAATTGTTACCAGAAAAACACTGTAGAACTAACCTGCTAAGTGACCTATCCCTGCCATAACCAGGAGACTGAGAGGACAAGAAGCCACTTTCCCAGCTCTTGGCTCAGGGAACACATCAATCAGCCATGGTCTGGCATGAAGAGAATTGTAGAGAGCACCTCTCATGTTATTGTCTCTCTAATTATTTTTTCTAAATTAAATTTTGTATGAGTATATTTGATAGAATCTGTAATGGTAGTGGCAAAAGTCTTTGACAAACCTGTCTGTGTGTTGACAGCTTCTTCAGAAAGCAAACAAAAATGGTGGTAAAATATAGGATAAAAAGTTTGCAATCTTGGAGGTGAGAAAGGCCATTGAAGTTTGACAAAGAAAATGAAAATAAAAAGATGTATTAAATCTTGATATCTGCTACATATTTTGATATGTAAAAATGAAAAAAGTTTATATGGGCAAAAGGCAGAAAAACGCTGAAAATATTTCTATGGCATATAGATGTGGAGATTATTTTCTGCATGATTATAAGGTTTGCATGTAAATTGAATATTTTTTCCCTACTCCAAGATTGTATGAGAGGGCATCCATGAATAAAAATTAAAATAAAAATTACTAAAAATCGATATAAACGATAAAAATTTATCTAATACATAAATAATTTGCTTAAATGAATATGAAATAGGTACATAGAAGGAAATGTGGGCAATGAACAAAGGAAAAAAACGAAAAGGCTTATAAGCATGAAAGTAAGCTTACCCTTAAAAATCAACCACAGAAATGAAAACCACTGATTTTGATTAGCATGTAGGATAATGTTGCTCATGTATTATCAATAAAAAAGTACAGAATAGGGTGAGGTGCCAGAAGCAGCTATCATGTGCCACTCATGGAGAGGGAGACAGGGTGGTGAGTAAACACTAGCTCTTCACATGGATCGTCCATGAGGCCATGTTAGGATTCACCAAGGAAGCAACTGCAATCGATGGACAGCAGAAAGGGGCCAGGCAGGAAAGCAGTCCACCCAGGATTGGCATAGAGCCAGGTGAGGCTCCCTACCATAGGGAAAGGGTGAATAAGAACCTCCTGGGACCCACACTTCTGCCATGGGCCTTTGCAATCCTGGCACAGGAGATCTCCCGTGACCCCGAGGGGCTTCCAGACCAACACAGAGAGGTTACTGGAGTCTGGGCAGAGCTGCAGCTAGGGTCACCTGGAGCCCCATGAGCCGTGGGGCCCTGAGCACCTTGGTGCCAGCTGCCATAGCCACACCAACAAGGGAGGCCAGCTCTCTCGCATGCCCCTAGAATAGGGGCTGCATCCACGGTGCTGAGGAGCAGACTGACCGCAGGCCCCGCTTGCTTCATCAAGCCAGGCAAAGCCCACTGGCCTGGGTCGCCCACGCAGCCACCCCACTCCCACCTGAGCACTCAGGCCAGTCAGGCTCTCCATTTCTTTGGAAAGGAACTCCCAGAGGTAACCAATAGGCCTGAGATTTCTGGTACTGTGGTCTCCCACATGCCGCCCTCAGGCTGGGGAGGGATCGAAGAGCGCAGGAACTATCCTAGACCTTCAGCAAGGCATACGAACAGCTGTCATACGGAAAAGTGGCCAGATTATTTTCCACGTGGGTCCCTGTCCCAGCTACTCCTCACTGGGCAGGGCCTCCGAGCCTGGGGTCCCAGCACAGCTGCCCCACCCCCACCCGTTCTTTCATTTGGCGGTGGCCCTAAGTTTCTCTGGGGTAGAGCTCCCAGAGACAACCGGCAGGCTCTGTGCCACCCCTAGCTGAGTGTAAGGTCCTTCCTTGCTCCCCGCAGGCTAGGTAGGGAACAAAGAGCCTGACTGCAGCTGTCCTAGGGAGAGAAGGCCAGATTGTCTTCCTTGCGAGCCCCTGACCCCGGCTACTCTTCACCAGACACGGCCGGCTTTGGCCCACAACACAGCCGCCCCACCCCTGGATCCTTCACCTTAGCAGTAGCAGTAGCTCTGGGTGGAGTTGCCAGAGGCAGCTGACAGGCCCTCTGCCACTGCTGCCACCCCCAGGGCTAGGGAGGGAACAAAGAGCCTGCTTGCTGTGCTTGCACATCCAGCATGCCACAGCTGCACTACGGAGAGGAGGTCAGACAGTCCCCCCAACAAGCCCCCGATCCCTCTGCTCTCCACCAGGGAGGGCCCTGGGCTTGCGCCCACAGCACAAACGTCCCATCCCGGGCTGATCATTCTGGTTGGCAGCGGCTCTGAATTTCTCTGGGGTGGAGTTCCCAGAGACAACTGACAAGCCCTCTGCCACCGACACCGCCAAGGTCCCCTTCCCTGCTCCCCCAAGCAGGGGAGGGAATAAAAAGCCCGAACTCGCCCCAGGTCCAACACTAGAGCGGGAAGAGAAACCCACACTCCCAGAGCACCGAGAGGGGTAACCGCATGAGTTCCTGGGCTGCTGTGGGAGCGGGGCGCGCCTCCCTCTGCAGGAGGAGCCTGGAAAAGGTGTGGCCTATCTCCCTGCGGTGGCCTCTGCCTGAGGGAGCCCCGCAGCCTGGAACACCTAGCAAAAGAAATGATGGTGCAGTGCTAGTGATCGGAGGGGGTTCCCCCAAGGCTCAGGAGCTGACCTGGTGAGGGGGTCACTTCTTTCCCCGCTGTACGGGAGACCAGGCTGTAGATGTGAGGAAGTACAAAGGAACCACAGGCCTGAGCAAGAGTGTATTTACCGTCCATTACTCTTAAGCGACATCTACTGGATTGCAGCCAAAACTGCTACAACACCAAAAATATTTTGCTAATATCCCCCAGTGAAATCAAAGGCAAGAATCCAGCCACAAATAAAGACCCTGCACAAAGCCTTGGCTATCTGAAAACATTCAGAAACAAAGCCAAGTGACTATACTCAAATTACACCACAGGTAAAGGAACGCCAATGCTTCCAGATGAGAAAGAATCAGTGCAAGAACTCTGACAATTCAAAAAGCCAGTTTCCCCATACCTCCAGATGAGTCCACCAGACCCCAAGCAATGATTTTTTTTATTTGCTTTCCTTATTTGTTTGCTTGTTTGGAGATACCTTTTACTTTTTTAATTTTAATTTTTTAATTTTTAGGTTCAGTTATACATGTGCAGATTTGTTATATAGGTAAATTGCTTGTCATTGGGGTTTGGTGAACAGATTTATCACCCAGGTAATAGGCATAGTACCTGATAGGCAGTTTTCTGATCCTCACCCTTTTCCCACAGTCCAATCTCAACTATGCCCAAGTATGTATTGTTCCCTTCTTTGTGTTCATGTGTATTCAAGGTTTATCTCAAATTTGTAAGTAAGAACATGTAGTGTTTAGTTTTTTGTTCCTATGTTGGTTCACTCAGGAAAATGGCCTCCAGCTCCATGCATGTTGCTGCAAAGGATATGATCTCATTCTTTTTATGACTGCATAGTATTCCATAGTATATTTGTACCATATTTTCTTTATCAAGTTCACCATTGATGGGCATCTAGGTTGATTCCATGACATTGCTATTGTGAATATTGCTACGATGAAGGTACTTGTGCATGTGTCTTTATGGTAGAATGATTTATATTTCTTTGGGTATATGCCCAATAATGGGATTGCTGGGTTGAATGCTACTTTGGTTTTAAGTACTTTGTGAAATCACCACACTGCTACCCATAATGGCTGAACTAATTTATATTCCCACCAGCAATGCATAAACATTCCGTTTTCTCTGCAAACTTGCCAGCATGATCTATGATTTTTTGACTTTTTAATAATAGCCCATCTGACTGGTGTGAGATGGTATCTCATTGTGCTTTTGATGTGCATTTCTCTAATGATTAGTGATGTTGAGCATTTTTTTTCATATGCTTCTTGGCCAAGTGTATGTCTTATTTATTTTTTTTGAGATGCAGTTTCACTCTTGTCACCCAGGCTGGAGTGCAATGGTGCAATCTCGGCCCACTGCAACCTCTACCTCCTGGGTTCAAGAGATTCTCCTGCCTCAGCTTCCCCAATAGCTGGGATTACAGGCACCTGCCACCATGCCTGGCTAATTTTTGTTATTTTTAGTAGAGATGGGGTTTCACCATGTTGGCCAAGCTGGTCTCGAACTCCTGACCTCAGGTGATCCACCCGCCTTGGCTTCCCAAAGTGCTGGGATTACCGGCGTGAGCTACTGCGCCCAGCCTTGACTACTCTTTTTTTTTTTTTTTTTTTTTTTGATGGAGTCTCACTCTGTCACCAGGCTGGAGGGCAGTGGTGCGGGCTCGGCTCACTGCAACCTTTGCCTCCTGGGTTCAAGCAATTTTCCTGCCTCAGCGTCCCGAGTAGCTGGGACTACAGGCGTGCATTTGCAAATACTTTAACCTATTCTATAGGTTGTCTGTTTACTCTGTTGATAATTTATTTTGCTGTGCAGAAGCTTTTTAGGTTAATTAGGTCACATTTATTAATTTTTGCTTTTGTCATCTTTGTCATGAAATCTTTGTCAGGGGCTATGCTGAGAATGGAATTTCCTAGGTTGTCTTCCAGGGTTTTTATAGTTTGGGGTTTCACATTTAAGTCTTTAATCCAGTTGGATTGATTTTCATATATGGTATAAGGGAGGGGTTCAGTTTCCATTTTTTGCATATGGCTACCTAGTTATCTCAGCACCATTTATTGAATAGGGAGTGCTTTTCCCATTGCTTGTTTTTGTCAGCCTTGTTGAAGATTAGATGGTTTTTGTTTTTAGTTCTGTTTATGTGGTGAATCACATTTACTAATTTGCATATGCTGAACCAACCTTGTGTTCCAGGGATAAACCCTACTTGATTGTGTTGGAGTAGAGTTTTAATGTGCTGCTGGATTCAGTTTGCTAGTATTTTCTTTTTTTCTTTTCTTTTTTTTTTTTTTTTTTTTTTTTTGCTAGTTTTCTTTTTTTGTTGTATCTCTGCCAGGTTTTGGTATCAGAATGATGTTGGCTTCATAGAATAAATTAGGGAGGAGTCCTTCCTCCTCAAATTTTCAGAATAGTTTCAGAGGAAAGGTACCAGCTCTTCTTTATGCATCTGGTAGAACTCAGCTGTGAATTCCTCTGATCCTGGGCTTTTTCTGGTTGGTAGGCTTTTTATTATTAACACAGTCTTGGAACTTGTTATTAGTCTGTTCAGAGTTTCAGTTTCTTCCTAGTTCAATCTTAGGAGGTTGTATGTTTCCAATAATTTATTAATTTCTTCTAGTTTGTGTGCATAAAGTTGTTCATAGTAGTCTCTGAGGGTTTTTAAAAAATATTTCTTTGGGGTTGGTGGTAATGTTTCCTTTGTCATTTCTGACTGTGTTTATTTTTATCTCTTCTCTTTTTTGCTTTATTAGTCTAGCTAGTGCTCTATCAATCTGATGTGTTATTCTGAAGCAACAAAACCTGGATTTGTTTATCTTTTGTATGGTTTTTTGCATCTCAATTTCTTTCAGTTCAGCTCTGATTTCAGTTATTTCCCTTCTCTTGCTAGCTTTGGGACTGATTTGCTTTTGTTTCTCTAGTTCCTCTTGGTGTGATGTTAGGATGTTAATTTGAAATCTTTCCAATATTTTGATGTAGTTTTTTTTTTTAGTGATATAAACTTTCCTCTTAATACTGCTTTATCTGTGTCCCAGAGATTTTGATACGTAGTATGTTTGTTCTCATTAGTTTCAAAGAATTTCTTGACTTCTGCCCGAATTTCGTTGTTTACCCAAAAGTCATTGAGGAGAAGGTTGGTTAATTTTCACGTATGCTTTTGATGTATTTTATTGTATTGATTTCAATGTTTATTGCATTGTAATCTGAGAAAGTGTGGTTTGTATGATTTTGGATTTTTTGAATTTCCTGAAAATTGTTTTATGATTGATTGTGTCGTTGATTTTAGAGTATGTGCCATGTGCAGATGAGAAGAATGTATAATATTCTAATGTTTTTGGGTGGAGAGTACTGTAGATGTCTGTTAGGACCATTTTGTCAAATGTTGAGCTCAGTCCCGAATCTCTTTGTTCATTTTCTGTCTCAATGCTCTAATATTGTCAGTGGGTTGTTGAAGTCTCCCAGTAGTATTGTGTGGTTATCAAAGTCTCTTCAAAGGTCTCTAAGAACTTCCTTTATAAGTCTGGGTACTTCTGTGTTAGATGTATATATTCTTAGGATTGTTAGGTTTTCTTGTTGAGTTTAACCCTTTACCATCATGAAATACCCTTGTCTTTTTTGATTGTTATTGGTTTATAGTCTATTTTGTCTGAAATTAGAATCAGACCATTTGCTCTTTTCTGTTTTCTTTGGCTTGGTCTATTTTTTCTCCATCCCTTTATTTTGAGCCCCTGGATATCACTGCATGTGAGATGGGTCTCTTGCAGAGAGAATACAGTTGGGTCTTGCTTCTTTATCTGACTTGCCACTCTATGCCTTTTAAATGCCTTGAAGCATTTAACCCATTTACATTCAAGGTCACTCAAGGTTAGATTGTGTCTTTCCCAGCAATGATTCCTAAACCATAAGAAATTACTGAAATGAGAGACATAGAATTCAGGATCTGGATGTCATGGAAGCTCATTGAGATTCAGGACAAATTTGAAATCCAATCCATGGAATCCAGTAAAATGACAGAAGAGCTGAAAGACAAAATAGCCACTTTAAGAAAGAACCAAACTGAAACTCTCGAGTTAAAAATTCACTAGAAGAAGTTCATAATACAGTTAGAAGTATTAACAGCAAAATAGACCAAGCTAAGGAAAATATCTCTGAGCTCAAAGACTGGTTCTTTGAATTAACACTGTGAGACAAAAATAAAGAAAAAACAATTTTAAAAGTGAACAAAACTTCTGAGAAAGATTATATAAAGAGACCAAATCTACAACTCATTGCCATTACTGAGAGAGAAGGACAGAGAATAAACAACTTGGAAAATAAATTCGACTATATAGTCCATGAAAATCTTCCTAATCTTGCTAGAGAGGATGATATGCAAATCCAAGAAATACAGAGAATCCTGGCTAGATATTGTACAAGATTTACAAGGCACATAATCTTCAGATTCACCATAGTTAATGCAAAAGAAAAGGGATCTAGAAAGAAAGGTCGGGTTATGTATGAAGGGAACTCCATCAGGCTAGCAGCAGACCTTTCAGCAGAAACTTTATCAGCCAGAAAAAATTAGGGGCCTATTTTTAGTATTCTTAAAGAAAATAAACTCCAACCAAGAATTTCATATCCCACCAAACTTAGCTTCATAAGTGAAGGAAAAATAAAATCCTTCTCAGAAAATAAAATGCTAAGGTAATACATTTCAACTTAGCTAGCCTTATAACAGGTCCTTAAGGGAGTGCTAAACACGTGAACAAAAGAACAGCATCTGCTGCCACAAAAACACGCTTAAGCACATAGCCCATAGACACTATGAAGCACTACACAGTCAAGTCTATAAAACAGCCAGCTAACAACATGATGACAGGATCAAAATCTGACATATCAATATTAATCTTAAATGTAAGTTATCTAAATGCCCTACTTAAAAGGCATAGAGTGGTAAGTTGGATAAAAAGGCAAGACACCACTGTCTGCTGTCTTGAAGAGACCAATCTCATATGTAATGAAACCCACAGGGTCAAAGTAAAGGGATGCAGAAAGATTTGTCATGTAAACAAAAAACAAACAAAAAATAGTAGGGGTCACTATTTCTTATAGCGTATAAAACAAACCAACAACAATTACCAAGGACAAAGAAGGGCATTACATAATGATAAAGGGTTCAGTTCAACAAGAAGACTTTATCCTAAATGTATACACACTGAACATTGGAGCACCCGACTCATAAAACAAGTTTTTCTTGGCCTACAAAAAGACTTAGACAATCATACAATAATACTGGGAGACTTCACTGCTCCACTGATGGTTTTAGATCGTTAAGGCAGAAGACGAACAAAGAAATTCTGGACTTAAATTTGACACTTGACTAATTGGACTTAATAAACATCTACAGAACACTCCATCCAACAACCATAGAATATTCATTCTCATCTACACATGGAACATATTGTAAGATCAACCACACGCTTCGTCAGAAAGCAAGTCTGAATACATTCAAAAACACTGAAATCATCCCAGGCACATTCTTGAACCACAGTGCAATAAAATTAGAAATAAACGTCAAGAAGGTCTCTCAAAAGTACACAAATTCATGGAAAGTAAACAACTTGCTCCTGAGTAACTCATGGGTCCACACTGAAATTAGGCAAAAATCAAAAAAATTCTTTGAAATTAAAACAGGGACACAACTAACCAAAATCTCTGAAATGAAGCTAAAGCAGGAAATAAAACTTTTTATATAAATAAGTAAATAAGATAATAAGAGGAAAGATTATAGCACTAAATACCTTCATCAAGAAGTTAGAAAAATCTGAATTTAATAATCCAACTTTGTACCTAAAGGAACTAGAAAAAAAAAAGCTCAAAGCTAGCAGAAGAACAGATATAACTACAAATAGAGAAAAACTTAATGAAAGTGAGATGCAAAAATATGTACAAAAGGTCAGCGAAACCAATAATTGGTCCTTCAAAATAAAAATAAACAAAATTGGTAGATTGCTAGCTAGATTAACATAGAAAAAAAGCTGAAGACCCAAATGAGTACAATCAGAAATAACAAAAATGATGTTGCAACTGATCCCACAGAAATACAAAAGATACTCAAAGAATACTATAAGCAACTTTATGCATACAAATTAGAAAATCTAGAAGAAATGGATAAATTCATGGAAACACACAATCTCCCAAGATTGAATCCCTGGAAGAGATTGAAACCCTGATTAGACCAACATCAAGCTGTGAAACAGAATCAATAATAAAAAAACCTACCAACCAAAGTAAGTCCTGGGCCAGATAGATTCACAGCTGAATTCTACCAGAGTTAAAAAAAGAACTCTACCAATTTTATTGAAACTATTCCAAAAAATTGAGGAGTAGGAGCTCCTCCCTAACTCATTCTATGAAGCCAGTATCATCCTGATACCAAAACCTGGCAGGGACAGAACAAAAAACAAATCATCAGGGCAATATCCCTTATGAATACAGATGCAAATATCATCGACAAAATATTAGCTAATTGAATCCATCAGCACATCAAAAAGTTAACACACTGTGATCAAGTAGGTACTATTCCCGAGAGGTAAGGCTGATTCAATGTATGCAAATCAATAAATGTGATTCATCACATAAACATAATAAGAGACAAAAACCACATGATCATCTCAATAGATGCAGAAAAAGCATTCAATAATATCCAACATCCCTTCATGATAAAAACCCTTAACAGACTAGATTTTGAAGGAATATACCTCAAAACAATAAGAGCCATCTATGACAGACCCACAGCCAACATGATACTGAATGGGCAAAAGCTGGAAGTATTCCCCTTAAGAACTGGTAAAGGACAAGGATGTACATTCTCACCACACTTCTTCAACAGAGTACTTGAAGTCCTAGCCACAGCAATTATGCAAAAGAAAGAAATAAAAGATATCCAAATAGGAAAATAAGAAGTCAAACTATTTCTATTCACTGATGATATAATTCTATACTTAGAAAACTAGCTTTCACAAAAAGGCAACTAGAACTGACATACAATTTTAGGAAGGTTTCAGGACATGAAATCATTGTATAAAAATCAATAGCATTTCCATACATCAATAATGTCCAGGCTGAGAGTGAAATCAAGGACACAATCCCATTTACAATAGGCACAAAGAAAATTAAATACCTTGGAATACAGTTAACCAGAAAACCCTCTACAAAATTAATGGCAAAAACACTGCTGACAGAAATCAGAGATGACAGAAATAAATGGAAAAACATTCCATACTAATAGATTACAAGAATCAATATAGTTAAAATGGCCACACTGCCCAAAGCAATCAACAGTTTAATGGTATTCCTATCTCACCACCAACACCATTCTTCTCAGAATTAGAAAAAAAGATAGAAAATTCATACAGAGCCAAAAAAGCCTGAATAGTCAAAACAATCCCATGCAAAATGTACCACATGAACATATGCACCTACTCTGTACCCAGAAAAATTGAAAAAAATGTAAAAAGAATGAAACTAGAGGCATCACACTACTCAAACTATAAGGCCATTGTAACCAAAACAGTATGCTACTGGTACAGAAACAGACACATAGACCCATAGAACAGAATAGAAAACCCAGAAATAAATCCATGCACTTACAACCATCAGCTCTTCAACAAGGCAGACAAAAATAAGCAATGGAGAAAAGACTCTCTGTTTAGAAGCCCCTACTGAGGAAAGTTGTGGGCTTGAGTCTGGAGCCTAAGAACATTCAACCAAGCTAACTCTCAGGTCTCTCTATTCAATAAATGGTGCTGGGATAACTGGCTAGTCAGATACAAAAAAAAGTGAAACTTGACCCTTATTTTTCACCATATACAAAAATCAACTCAAAATCGATTACAGATTTAAATTTAAGACCTCAGCCTATAGAAATCCTAGAAGAAAACCTAGGAAATACTCTTCTCAGCCACAGCCTTGGCAGAGAATTTTTGGCTGAGTCCTCAAAGGTAATTGCAACAAAAACTAGAGTTGACAAGTGGGACCTCATTAAACAAAAGAGCTTCTGCACAGCAAAAGGAACTATCAATAGAGTAAGCAGAAAACCTACAGAATGGGAGAAAATACTCACAAGCTATGCTTCCAAACAAAGGTCTAATATCCAGAAAGTATAAAGAACTTAAACAAAGCAACAAGCAAAAAAACAAAACAAAAAAAATCCACTTAAAAATGGGCAAATAAGGCAATCCTAAGCAAAAAAGAACAAAGCTGGAGGCATCATATTACCCAACCTCAAACTATACTACAAGGCTACAGTAACCAAAACAGCATGATACTGGTACAAAAACAGACACATAAACCAATGGAACATAATGAGAGGCCAGAAATAGTGCTGCACACCTATAACCATCTGAACTTTCACAAAGAGGATACAAACAAGCAGTAGGGAAAGGACTTTCTATTCAATAAATGGTGCTGGGATAATGGGCAAGCCACATGCAAAAGACTGAAATGTAACCCCTTCTTTCTTTTCCATTTGTTTTATTTTATTTTATTTTGTTACTATTATACTTTAAGTTTTAGGGTACACGTGCACAACGTGCAGGTTTTGTTACACATGTATACATGTGCCATGTTGGTGTGCTGCACCCTACAAAAATCAGTTCAACATGGATTGGAGAATTAAATGTAAAACCGCAAACTATAAAAACCCCAGGAGATAACTTAGGAAATTCCATTCTCAAATAGGCCCTGGCTAGTATTTCATGGTGAAGACACCAAAAACATTGACCACAAAAACCAGAAATTGACAAATGAGACCTAAGTAAACTAAAGAGCTTCTGCAGAGCAGAATGAACTGTCAACAGAGTCAACAGACAACCCACAAAATGGGATAAAATATTTGCAAACTATGCACCCAACAAAGGTCTAATATCCAGAATCTACAAGGAACTTAAATGATCGAGCAAAAAACAATCTCTTTAAAAATTGGGCAAAGGACATGAACAAAGGCTTTTCAAAGACCTACATGCAGCCAAGAAGCATATGAAAAAATGCTCGACATCGCTAAGCACATCAAAACCACAACGAGATACCAACTCACAGCAGTCAGAATGGTTATTATTAAAAAGTCAAAAAATAACATGCTAGTGAGGTTTCAGAGAAGAGGGAACACTTATACGCTGCTGGTGGGAATGTAAATTAGTTCAGCCATTGTGGAAAGCAGCGTGGCAATTTCTCAAAGAAATTAAAAGAGAATTATCATTTAACCTAGCAATCTCATTATTGGGCACATATCCAAAGGAATATAAATCATTTTACCATAAAGACATATGCACACATATGTTCAACACAGTACTATTCTCAATAGCAAAGTTGCCATCAATGGTAAACTGTATAAAGAAAATGTGGTACACAGACACAATGGAATACTATGTAGTCATAAAAAGAATGAGATCATGTCCTTTGCAAGAAAGAGATAAAAGGAAAAGAGTCAAAATTAATGAAACATAAAGTAGACAAACATTAGAAAAAAATTTAAAAGCCAAAAATTGGTATTTTGAAATGATTACCAAAATTGATAAACCCCTAGTAGAATGATGAATTTTAAAAGAGAAACACACAAACTACCAACATTAAGAATAACAAGAGAAGCACTATTAGTCCTAAAGAAACTGAAGGGATAATAAGGGAATATGAAGAATAGCAATATGACAAAACACATTTGCCAAAACTGGCACATCAAGATATACAAAATCTAAATAGGAATATATTTTAAAAGGAAATGAATGTAGAGCTGAAAACTTTCTACTAAGAAAATTCCAGGTTCATATGGCTCAACCAGGGAGTTTTCTAAAATATGTAAGAAACGGGTAATGCCAATTGTATCTAAACTCGTTCATAAAATAGAAGAAAGGATACCATTGCCCAACTTTCTTTATGAGGTCAGTATAACCCTGATACCAAAATCTGACACAGGATTTTGCATTGCAAGGATTTTGCATTACAAGAAAAGATGATTTCTCAAAAACATACACATACAATTTTATTTTTATTTTTTTGAGACGGACTCTGACTCTGTCACCCAGGCTGGAGTGCAGTCGTGCGATCTCGGCTCACTGCAAGCTCCACCTCCCGGGTTCATGCCATTCTCCTGCCTC
The DNA here is from genome assembly GCF_000001405.40 of Homo sapiens. NCBI lineage: Eukaryota > Metazoa > Chordata > Mammalia > Primates > Hominidae > Homo > Homo sapiens. The sequence goes on from NT_187602.1 coordinate 432,225, forward strand.
AGTCTCCCAAATAGCTGAGACTACAGGCGCCCACCACCAAGCCCGGCTAATTTTTTGTATTTTCAGTAGAGACGGGGTTTCACCGTCTTAGCCAGGATGGTCTCGATCTCCTGACCTCATGATTCGCCCTCCTCGGCCTCCCAAAGTGGTGGGATTACAAGCGTGAGCCACCCTGCCCGGCTACACATAAAATTTTAAAACAAAGCATTAGCAATCCGAACATGACAATACATAAAAAGTTGTGACCAGATGGGATGTATCCCAAAAACGCATAGTTGGCTTAACATTTGAAAATCAATCAAGTTAATTGCTATATTCACTGAATGAAGGTGGAAAAATGATATGATCTTGCCAATAGAGGCAGAAAATCATCTGTTTTAACATCCATTCATGTCTGTAAAAAATTCTAAGTACATTGGAAATGAAAGGGAACCTCTCCAGTCCAATAAAGGGCAATTATGAAAAACCTATAGCAACCATTATAACATATGATAAAATCTTGAATGCATGCCCCCTTAAGATTAGGAAGAATGCAAGTATCCATGCTCTCACCACTTCTATTCAACATGTGCTAACCACTGAAATAAAGTTTTTTTTAAAGGTATTAATATTAGGAAGAAAAAAATAAAAATCTATTTATTCATAGAAGAAATGTATGTGTAGAGCATACTATGGTGTCTTTAAAGAACTAGAATTTACAAGGAAATTTATCAAGGGTTGCAGGATACAAGATCAACATTTAAAAACTAAATCTTGGTGAGAATGTGAAACAACTATTAACTCTGAAAAACGAAACAAAGTAAACTTAAATGTTATTATTCTTCTTCCTTTGATTTTTTTGTATAAAGTGTTAAGGATATAAAAATACTAGAAGTCATGCCATAAAAGTAAAAAAAGAAAAAAAAATTCTCTTTGAATTTTTATTTTTTGACTTTTCTTTTTTTTTCTTTTCTTTTTTTTTTTTTTTTTTGAGACGGAGTCTCGCTCTGTCGCCCAGGCTGGAGTGCAGTGGCGCGATCTCGGCTCACTGCAAGCTGCGCCTCCCAGGTTCACGCCATTCTCCTGCCTCAGCCTCCTGAGTAGCTGGGACTACAGGCGCCCGCCACCACGCCCAGGTAATTTTTTTTTTTGTATTTTTTATTACAGACGGGGTTTCACCGTGTTAGCCAGAATGGTCTCGATCTCCTGACCTCGTGATCTGCCCACCTCGGCCTCCCAAAGTGCTGGGATTATAGGCGTGAGCCACCGTGCCCAGCCATTCTTTGACTTTTTAATAATAGTCCTTCTGACTGGTGTGAGATGGTATCTCATTGTGGTTTTGATTTGCATTTCTCTAATGAATAGTCAAGCTGAGCATTTTTTTTTTCATATGCTTATTGGCCGTATACATGTTTTCTTTTGGGAAGTATCTTTTCATATAAAAAGTGGTCATTTTTTTGAGAAAAAAATGAATAAATTCAGAGACAAACTCTTGTTGGTTAAAAATAATATTGAATATATACATGTCAATGCATAAATAGAATACAATTTAATAAAATACCAGTAATACTTTTCATTGTAAAATTAATTCAAGATTATCTAGAAGAGAAAATCTATCCAAGGTGATAAAACTTTCCTAGAAGGATTAAAAAGTCTCCATTTTGAGGACTATTTTAGATCTTCAGATTAATTTTATCTTATCTATTAGAGTGAACATTAAGAGGTGAGTAAGATCCTGGATTATATGCACAATTATGAAAAAAAATCATGTTTTTAAAAGTTTTGGTGGCAAGACTAACCTACTCCAAGATGGGGTTGTTATTCCACTTAAGAACGTATCTAACCTCATTCATTTTGCTTCCTTTCTCTATTTTCCTCTGTGCAGCTCTCTTTATCATTGTTTTCTTTTTATGGTTATATGGATTTGTAGACTGTGCATTTATATGGACTGCCATGCGAGCTGTCACAGCCCAGACAGTGGAGTGTGGTTGGCTTGTGGGTAGTAAGAAGAATTTACCAACAACTGTATAGATTTGAAAAGGAAAGTTGTATTAGATGGAAAGAACGCTGCAGAGGAGTGCAGCAGGGCTCCTCAGCAAGAGAGGACTGAGGACGCCACTGCAGTAGATTTTTCCTTAGGGTATTTATGGACCTTAAAGTGGGAGCTTAAGGGTAATTTTTACCATATTAGCCACATAGGTCATGGTAAACAATTACATTTATAGACATTTTGGTGCCTTGATGTCAGCAGGGATTGCACAATGAGTTTAGAATACATGCATTCCAGAGATGCATAGAAATTCTGGTTACTCACAAATTTTTGGAAAAGAAATCTCATACCAGATGCCAGCTTTACATAATAGGGATGTCTAATTACTTCTGAATTCCTTGGATAAGGAGTTTTGCCTCTGGATGGTCTTGCTCTCCTCATGGACTAGTATCTCTCTGTCTCTTCACCATTTGTTTTTAAGTCATACGACTATCTTTCCATTTATGTCTCTGCTAGTCTTTCTTTTCCCTTTTCTCTTGATTTTTATTTTGATTATTGTAACTTTTTCTGTACTTCTCTCTCTCTCCTTTCTTCTTTCTTTCCTTTTTCTACTCTTACACTTTGTTTTTGAACTGTGAAATAAATTAAAACAAATGTATTTGGTGATAAATTATGTTTATTACCCCCAAATCTGTGTTCTTATTTCACTTGTAAAGTGACCCATAAACTCAGTGTTTTCTTTAAAGCAAAAGATTAAACTAATTTTTAAATAAAATTAATAAAATTAATTTGCATTTATTTTTTCTGACTCAAATAATTTTTAAAATTAATAATCTTTAATGGAAAAATGTTTTTCATCCTTGTTTTAGTTGAGCAGAGTGAAAGGGAACAAATTACAAATACCAAGAGCATGACACATCTTTTCATGCTATGTAGGAGATCACCTTCCCTTTAGCAATTGTTCTATCCTATACTAAGAAACTATTTTCTCTAAGAAGAATTATGCAGCAGTATTCATGAGCTTTTCAATATTTCCTTTGCTAATGTCCTTATCACCGTCAACATCCTACAACTGAGTAAGGTGCTTATCTTGCATGCAAAATTTAAAGGCGTGCCCAAAAACTCAATAGTAGAGATAAACATTTAAATCAATATTTTGAGAAATCAAAATTAATTTTAAAATTTGTGATAAAGTACCAAATTTTAAGCAAAGGCAGGATCAGCAACTGCCATGTTGAGCCATGTTGGAACCTGAGGCAACAGGAAAAATAAATAATATTGGTGAAGTCTTTTTTAAAAATTATACTTTAAGTTCTGGGATACATGCGTAGAATATGCAGGTTTGTTACATAGGTAAATATGTGCCATGGTGGTTTGCTGCACCCATCAACCTGTCACCTACATTAGGTATTTCTCCTAATGCTATCCTTCCCCTAGCCCCCCACCCTGTGACAGGCCCCCGTGTGGGATATTCCCCTCCCTGTGTCCCTGTGTTCTCACTGTTCAACTCCCACTTAAGAGTAAGAACATGTGGTGTTTGGTTTTCTGTTCCTGTGTTAGTTTGCTGAGAATGATGGTTTCTAGCTTCATCCATATCCCTGCAAATGACATGAACTCATCCTTTTTTATGGCTGCATAGTATTCCATAAAGTATATGTGACCCATTTTCTTTATCCAGTCTATGATTGATGGGCATTTGGGTTGGTTCAAAGTCTTTGCTATTGTGAACAGTGCCACAGTAAACATACATGTGCATGTGTCTTTATAGTAGAATGATATATAATTCTTTGGGTATATACCCAGTAATGGGATTGCTGGGTCAAATGGTATTTCTGGTTCTACATCCTTGAGGAATCGCTACACTGTCTTCTACAATGGTTGAACTAATTTACCCTCCCACCAACAGTGTAAAAGGGTTCCTATTTCTCCACATCCTCTCCAGCATCTGCTGTTTCCTGACCTTTTAATGATCACCATTCTAACTGGCATGAGATGGTATCTCATTGTGGTTTTGATTTGCATTTCTCTAATGACCAGTGATGATGAGCTTTTTTTTCATATGTTTGTTGGCTGCATAAATGTCTTCTTTTGAGAAGTGTCTGTTCATATCCTTTGTTCACTTTTTGATAGGGTTGTTTTTTTTCTTGTAAATTTGTTTAAGTTCCCTGTAGATGCTAGATATTAGCCCTTTGTCAGCTGGATAGATTGCAAAAATTTCCTCTCATTCTGTAGGTTGACTGTCCACTCTGATGAGAGGTTTTTTTTTGTTTGTTTGTTTGTTTGTTTGTTTTTTTGCTGTGCAGAAGCTCTTTAGTTTAATTAGATCTCATTTGTCAATTTTGGCTTTTGTTGCCATTGGTTTTGGTGTTTTAGTCATGAAGTCTTTGCCCATGCCTATGTCCTGAATGGTATTGCCTAGGTTTTCTTCTAGGGTTTTTATGGTTTTAGGTTTTCCATTTACTCCTTTAATCCATCTTGAGTTAATTTTGTATAAGGTGTAAGGAAGGGGTTCAGTTTCAGTTTTCTGCATATGTCTAGCCAGTTTTCACAACACCATTTATTAAATAGGGAATCCTTTTCCCATTGCTTGCTTTTGTCAGGCTTGTTAAAGACCAGATGGTTGTAGATGTGTGGCATTATTTCTAAGGCCTCTTTTCTGTTCCATTGGTCTATATATCTGTTTTGGTACCAGTACCATGCTGTTTTGGTTACTGCGGCCTTGTAGTATAGTTCGAAGTCAGGTAGTGTGATGCCTCTTTCTTTTTGCTTAGGATTGTCTTGGCTATACAGGCTCTTTTTTGGTTCTGTATGAAATTTAAAGTTGTTTTTTCTAATTCTGTGAAGAAAATCAATGGTAGCTTGATGGGGATAGCATTGAATCTGTAAATTACTTTGGGCAGTATGGCCATTTTCATGATATTGATTCTTCCTATCCATGAGCACAGAACGTTTTTCCATTTGTGTCCTCTCTTTTTCCTTGAGCAGTGGTTTGTAATTCTCCTTGAAGAGGTCCTTCATATCCCTTGTTAGTTGTATTCGTAGGTATTTCATTCTCTTTGTAGCAGTTGTGAATGGGAGTTCACTCATGATTTGGCTGTTTATCTATTAATGGTATATAGGAATGTTTGTAATTTTTGCACATTGATTTTGTATCCTGAGACTTTGCTGAAGTTGCTTATGAGCTTAAGGAGATTTTGGGCTAAGATGATGGGGTTTTCTAAATATACAATCATGTCATCTGCAAACTTTGACAATTTACCTCCCTCTCTTCCTATTTGAATACGCTTTATTTCTTTCTCTTCCCTGATTGCCCTGGCCAGAACTTCCAATGCTGTGTTGAATAAGAATGGTGAGAAAAGGCATCCTTGTCTTGTGCTGGTTTTCAAAGAGAATGCTTCCAGCTTTTGCCCATTCGGTATGATATTGGCTGTGGGTGTGTCATAAATAGCTCTTATTATTTTCAGATACGTTCCATCAATACCTAGTTTATTTAGAGTTTTTAGCATGAAGGGGTGAATTTTACTGAAGGCCTTTTCTGCATCTATTGAGATAATCATGTGATGTTTGTCATTGGTTCTGTTTATGTGATGGATTATGTTTACTGATTGGGTATGTTGAACCAGCCTTGCATTCCAGGGATGAAGCCAACTTGATCATGGTGGATAAGCTTTTTGATGTGCTGCTGGATTCGGTTTGCCAGTATTTTATTGAGGATTTTTGCATTGATGTTCATCAGGGATATTGGCCTGAAATTTTCTTTTTTATGTGTGTCTCTGCCAGGTTTTGGTATCAGGATGATGCTGGCCTCATAAAATGAGTTAGGGAGGAGTCCCTCTTTTTCTATTGTTTGTAATAGTTTCTGAAGGAATGGTACCAGCTCCTCTTTGTACCTCTGGTAGAATTTGGCTGTGAATCTGTCTGGTCCTGGACTTTTTTTTGGTTGGTAGGCTATTAATTACTGCCTCGATTTCAGAACTTGTTATTTGTCTATTCAGGGATTTGACTTCTTCCTGGTTCAGTCTTGGGAGGGTGTATGTGCCCAGGAATTTATCCATTTCTTGTAGATTTTCTAGTTTATTTGTGTAGAGGTGTTTGTAGTATTCTCTGATGGTAGTTTGTATTTCTATGGGATCAGTGGTGATACCCCTTTATCATTTTCTATTGTGTCTATTTGATTCTTCTTTCTTTTCTTCATTAGTCTGGTTAGTGGTCTATTTATTTTGTTAATGTTTTCAAAAAACCAGCTCCTGGATGCATTGATTTTTTGAAGGGTTTTTTGTGTCTCTATCTCCTTCAGTTCTGCTCTGATCTTAGTTATTTCTTGTCTTCTGCTAGCTTTTGAATTTGTCTGCTCTTACTTCTCTAGTTCTTTTAATTGTAATGTTAGGGTGTTGATTTTAGATCTTTGCTGCTTTAAGCTGTTGGCATTTAGTGCTATAAATTTTCCTGTAAACACTGCATTAGCTGTGTCCCAGAGATTCTCGTACATTGTGTCTTTGTTCTCATTGGTTTCAAAGAACTTATTTATTTCTGCCTAAATTTCGTTATTTACCCAGTAGTCATTCAGGAGCAGGTTGTTCAGTTTCCATGCAGTTGTGCAGTTTTGAGTGAGTTTCTTAATCCTGAGTTCTAATTTGATTGCACTGTGATCTGAGAGACTATTTGTTATGATTTCTGTTCTTTTGCATTTGCTGAGGAGTGTTTTACTTCCAATTATGTGGTCAATTTTATAATAAGTGTGATGTGGTGCTGAAAAGAATGTATATTCTGTTGATTTGGGGTGGAGAGTTTTGTAGATGTCTATTAGTTCTGCTTGGTCCAGAGCTGAGTTCAAGTCCTGAATGTCCTTGTTAATTTTCTGTCTCTTGATCTGTCTAATATTGACAGTGGGGTGTTAAAGTCTCCCACTATTATTGTGTGGGAATGTAAGTCTCTTTGTATATCTCTAAGGACTTGCTTTATGAATATGGGTGCTCCTGTATTAGGTGCATACATATTTGGGATAGTTAGCTTTTCTTGTTGCATTGATCCGTTTACCATTATGTAATGCCCTTTTTTGTCTTTTTTGATCTTTGTTGGTTTAAAGTCTGTTTTATCAGAGACTAGGATTGCAACCCCTGCTTTTTTTTGGCTTTCAATATGCTTGGTAAATCTTCCTCCATCCCTTCATTTTGAGCCTATGTGTGTCTTTGCACGTGAGATGGGTCTCCTGAATACAGCACACCAATGGGTCTTGAGTCTCTATCCAATTTACCAGTCTGTGTATTCTAACTGGGGACTTAACCCATTTACATTTAAGGTTAACATTGTTATGTGTGAATTTGATCCTGTCATTATGATGTTATCTGGTTATTTTGCCTGTTAGTTGATGCAGTTTTTTCATAGCTTCAATAGTCTTTACAATTTGGTATGTTTTTGCAGTGGCTGGTACCAGTTTTTCTTTCCATATTTGGTGCTTCCTTCTGGAGGTCTTGTAAGGCAGGCCTGGTGGTGACAAAAATCTGTTAGTATTTTCTTATCTGTAAAGGATTTTATTTCTCCTTCATCTATGAAACTTTGTTTGGCTGGATATTAAATTCTGGTTTGAAAATTCTTTTCTTTAAGAACGTTGAATATTGGCCCCCACTTCTTTCTGGCTTGTAGGGTTTCTGCAGAGAGATCCACTGTTAGTCTGATGGACTTCCCTTTGTGGGTAACTACTTGACCTTTCTTCCTGGCTGACCTTAACATTTTTTCCTTCATTTCAACCTTGGTGAATCTGACAATTATGTTTCTTGGGGTTGCTCTTCTCGAGGAGTATCTTTGTGGTGTTCTCTGTATTTCCTGAATTTGAATGCTGGCCTGTCTTGCTAGGTTGGGAAAGTTCTCCTGGATAATATCCTGAAGAGTGTTTTCCAACTTGGTTCCATTCTCCCCGTCACTTTCAGGTACACCAATCAAACGTAGGTTTGGTCTTTTCACATAGTCCCATATTTCTTGGAGGATTTGTTCATTCCTTTTCAATCTTTTTTCTCCAATCTTGTCTTCACGCTTTATTTCATTAAGTTGATCTTCAATCCCTGGTATCCTTTCATCCACTCAATTGATTTGGCTATTGATACTTGTGTATGCTTCATGAAGTTCTCGTGCTGTGTTTCTCAGCTCCATCAGGTTATTTATGTTCTTTTCTAAGGTGGTTATTTTAGTTATCAATTCCTCTAACCTTTTTCAAGGTTCTTAGCTTCCTTGTTTTGGGTTAGAACATGCTCCTTTAGCTCAGAGGAGTTTGTTACTACCCATCTTTGGAAGCCTACTTCTGTCAACTTGTCAAACTCATTCTCCATCCAGTTTTGCTCCCTTGCTGGCAAGGAGTTGTGATACTTTGGAGGAGAAGAGGTGTTCTGGTTTTTGGAATTTTCAGCCTTTTTGCTCTGGTTTTTCCTCATCTTCTTGGACCTATCTAACTTTGTTCTTTGATGTTGGTGACCTTCAGTTGGTGTTTTTGGGTGGACATCCTTTTTGTTGATGTTGATGCTATTTCTTTCTGTTTGTTAGTTTTCCTTCTAACAGTCAGGCCCTTCTGCTGCAGGTCTGCTGGAGTTTGCTGCGGGTCCACTCCAGACCCTGTTTACCTGGGTGTCATCGCAGATGCTGCAGAACAGCAAAGACTACTGCCTGTTCCTTCTTCTGGAAGCTTTGTCCCAGAGGGGCACCAGCCAGATGCCAGCTGGAGATCTCCCGTATGAGGTGTCTGTCAACCCCTGCTAGGAGGTGTCTCCCAGTCAGGAGGCACAGGCATCAGGGAGCCACTTGAGGAGGCAGTCTGTCCCTTAGCAGAGTTCAAGCGCTTTGCTGGGAGATCTGCTGCTCCCTTCAGAGATGGCAGGCAGGAACATTTAAGTCTGCTGAAGCTGTGCCCACAGCCGCCCTTCCCCCCAGGTGCTCTGTCCCAGGGAGATGGGATTTTTATCTATAAGCCCCTGACTGGGGACGCTGCCTTTCTTTCAGAGATACCCTGCCCAGAGAGGAGAAATCTAGAGAAGCAGTCTGGCTATAGCTGCTTTGCTGGGTTGCAGTGGGCTCTGCCCAGTTCAAACTTCCTGGTGGTTTTATTTACACTGTGAAGAGAAAAGTGCCTACTCAAGCCTCAGTAATGGCGGATGCCCCTACCCCAACCAAGCTCGAGTGTCCCAGGTCAACTTCAGAGTGCTGTGCTGGCAGCAAGAATTTCAAGCCAGTGGATCTTAGCTTGCTGGGCTCCATGGGGGTGGGATCCACTGAGATAGACCACTTGACTCCCTGGCTTCAGCCCCATTTCCAGGGGAGTGAATCGTTCTATCTTGCTGGCATTCCGGGTGCCACTGGGGTATGAAAAAAACTCCTGCTTCTACCTCAGTGTCTGCCCAAATGGCTGCCTAGTTTTGTGCTTGAAACCCAGGGCCCTGGTGGTGTAGGCACCCAAGGGAATCTCCTGGTCTGCAGGTTGCAAAAACCATGGGAAAAGCCTAGTATGTGGATCAGAATCCACCATTCCTCTTGGCACAGTCTCTCATGGCTTCCCTTGGCCGGGGAGGGAGTTCCCTGAACCCTTCCACTTCCCGGGTGAGGTGATGCCCCACCCTGCTTTGGCTCATCCTCCGTAGGCTGAACCCACTGTCTAACCAGTCCCAATGAGATGAGCCGGGTACCTCAGTTGGAAATGCAGAAATCACCCACCTTCTGCGTTGGTCTTGCTGGGAGCTGCAGACTGGAGTTGCTCTTATCTGGCCATCTTGCCAGCCACCCTCTAAAGTTTGGTGAAGCCTTTAATTGAAAAATTTGAGTCTAGTCATATATATATATATATATATATATATATATATATATATATATATATGTATATATGTAATTTTTGCCTCATCCTACCCCTGCTTGCTTTTGTGGTACAAAGCAATAATCTCTCATCATTTATTTAATATTTTTCTCCTTTTGAATTTTATTATAACATGTAAATTTACTTCTCTCAAACTTCTATTTACTTCTGGACTAAAAAGTATGCTTCTGAATAGGGTTCTGTCTTTTTCACAGTAGAATTTTTGTTTTAGAACTAGAAAGGAAGTCAGCTTGGCATTATGTAGCACATTTAAAAAAAATTAGTTCTTGCAAAGCTCTGGTATTTTTCTTTGCCTTATTTAGTTGATAACTAATATAGTTTGCCTAATAACTCCCTTTGGAAGCATTCAGTGGGTCACGGTAGTCTCAAATCTCAAAAGCACTTTCTCCATTACAATAGAGAGATTTTAAAATCTAAGGTTCCTCATGTGGCAATGAACATTTATGAACAATGGCAAAATTGGTTAGTCTTACTAGGAGAGGGAGGATGGCTACTTTGTGAGAGTAACATAAGATCCCTGAAGGCTTAAATTTCTGGAGCTCTTCATATATATACAAGAAACAAGAAGAAAGAGACAATAGAAAAAATATTGCAACTATTTTACTTGTTCACCTGATATCTTAGATTGCAGTTGAATAGACAGGTCAGAGTATTAGCAGGAATAGCCACAGGCTAAGGTCTAAATTCAGCAGTGGGGCACTGTGTATTCTCTCTCCTAATAGATCTCCATCTGCATTTAATGCTTGGGATTACTTTACTGGTGAACTAAACCTTTAATTCTATTATAATTTTCCATAGACTCAAGAGAATTGACATCTGGTGTTAAAAAACAAAAAATCATACAAATGACTGATATGTATCATTTTCCTTATTAAATATGGAAGAAAGGGGAGGAGGATGCAGAAATGGTTGGCTAAAAGCTCCAGAGAAAAACTTAACAGATTTTATGATTTTGCGGAAGGTAAGTCCTTGACCTCTTCATTTTCACATTCAGCAGGTATGAAAGTTTCTTCTGTTACATATGGTTCTATCATTCATTCATAGAATTTTGACAGAAAGCTGTAGAACTGAAAAAAAGCTTGATATACAAACTACTAGCTGTATTGGCAATTTTACATGAAGGCATTACTGACCCTCCACAGCTTCTTTCTATTAACCATTCAGATTTATGCAACTACCATTATCCCAGGGGTTACTCAAAGACATTGACAAAAGATCTAGCAGCATTCTGTCCATTCAATATAACTACTTTTAACATCTAAATATTTTCAGGATTAACTTTGGTTGAAGCATACTTGAATGAATTACATATTAATACCATCATCACCTCATTTGATCCTCATGTTACCCCCATCAGACCCAAAGAGTCAATACATTAAACTATTTGGTAGATGAAAACTCAGGCTTCTGAAAGCTAAGTGACTTTGCCAGAATCACACAGTAAGTTAATTGCTCAGTCAAGGCATGAGAGTCAGATAAATGATTCCCAAACCAGGGATCCTTTTATGTTATTACATTGCCTAAAAAACTGGCATTCAAATGGAATTTAGAGGGCATTTAATCTGGCCATCTCATTTGATTGATGAATAAATTTTCTGGCTAAGAATCTACACATTTGTTTAGTGCTTTATATACTCAGCATCAGCATCAGTATAAATTAAATTTTCTATTATGTTCTCAGCCTGATTCACACTTTTTAGAAAATATAAAACTTATTTCATACTCAAATAATTTACTAACCTTGTGTAGTTAGTAAATTATTACTACTAATATTACATCTCTATTTTTGAAATTTACATTCAATATATTTATTTCATTAGGATGCTACTAATGAAATTAACTTTTTTTTAAAAAAAAGGTGAATCATCTCATTTTTATCAGGTTCACTACATATATATGAAGTAGTTGATAAATGACTCAGCGTTGGCCAATTGCAAGAATACCACTTAAAAGTAAATGGTTATTACTGAAGAGTGAATTATATATTTTCATTTTGTAGACTTAACATTTAAAATGGAAGATGGTGGGAAGCACACACATTTCTCAGTCTTGTTGGAAAAGCAAATGACAACGAGATTTTCTGTTTCTTGTTTCGTTTTGTTTTTAGATGCATTAGCAAGACAGGTGTGGGTAGAATGGAGTAGCCATGAACATAGACAAAAAGTGGAGAGAGTGAAAACATATCAGAGTGAAAAAACATAGATAAATGTAAGGGAGAAGAAAGAAAAAAAAATAAAGAACAATATTTAAAGAGAACAAAATAAATAGAGCCAGAAAGAAACAGAGAAGGGGAAAAGAACAGGCAACAAATTAACAGGGAAAAGAAATCACAACCAGAAAAAAAAAGAAAATGAACTGCTTATTGATGAATAAAGAAAGAGAGAAAAAGAAAAATAAGGAAGGAGGCGGAGTAAGCACATAAGATCTCTAAACACTTGGCTCCAGCAGCCCATCTGACCACACTCAGACTCCAGGCATGCACACACAGAGTTGCCTGGAGATGTTTCTGTGTCTCCACCTTGCAAATGTGGTGAACCCTTCTCCTTCATCTTCCCTATTTCTGCAGTGTGTCATCATGGCCAGAAACTGATCAATCCACGAATTAGCTGAAGTGGCAAGAACGATTAGAGATACAGTGAGGAAGGTATGGTACAGAGTTTTGACAGAACTTTCTCTACTAATTTGGCTAAAATAGAACACTTTACTCTGATGACGTCATCATTTATGGATTTTTTTTTTTTGGTAGAAACTTATTTTATTTTGCTTAGAGGAATGCTCATCTGATTAGTCTCCGCGTCTATTCCAACCACAATTTAGAGAAGGTAGAGATAATTCAAAGATGGAAGTGGGACAGGGAAGAAAGTTGATCAAGATGTCAAGTAGTACAGAATCCCATCTGTTAAGAAACAGTGGAAAAATAACAGTGAGGCTGGGACACAGGCAGAATGGAAGAGCTTATAACCTTCAATTTCAAAGTCCTTCAGAAATCCTCAAATGTCTCAGGGATATTGTTAAATGCTAACACATCAAGAAATACCTCACTCTATGTTAGCATGTGGGATGCATAAAACATATAAGTAAGTACAGTTGACTCCAGAAAAACATGGGTTTGAACCACACGTGTCCACTTATATGTGGATTTTCTTCCACCTCTGCCACCCCTGAGACAGCAAAACGAACCCTTCCTTTTCCTTCTCCTCAGCCTACTCAGTGGGAAGACGACAACGATAAGAACTTTATGATGATTTGCTTCCACTTAATGAACAGTATTTATATCTTCCTTTCCTTATGATTTTGTTATATTTTATTTTCTGTAGCTTAATTTATTGTAGGAATATAGTATATAATACATAAAACAAAAATATTTGTTATTCAACTGTTTATGTTACCAGCAAAGCTTCTGATCAACAGTAATCGTTAGAAGCTAAGTTTTTAGGGAGTCAGGGTATGTGCTAATTTTTTATTGCACAGGGGATCTGCCCCCTTAACTCCTGCATTGTTCAATTGTCAACTGTAGAAGGGGCTCTTGATTTAAGGAAATATTTATATAGGCAGATAGTAGAATAAATGTTGAGACAAATGGCTGGCAAAGGGGGAAAAGGTTAAGACATGAGCAGAAAAGCTCATTTGAAGGATCTACAAAATATTTTTTCCTATTACAATTTTGCATGTGTTTGTATGTGTGTGCATACGTGTGTGTTCATGTGGTATTTGCATATGTATATATGATGATGTGTTAAAATATGACTTTCATAAATTCCACATGTGGCTGCCAGTAACACCCAGAAATTTCTGTATTAACCACTCTATTCCACTCTAGGGATACATAAAGCAGATAGTTTTAATGCTTCTTAAAATATGTACCCTAAGATGACACTATATAGATGTGCTGTCTGTCTTTTGGTGTTTGTTTGCTTGTTTGTTTGCTTGTTTGGTGTTTGTTTGCCTGATTTTCTATTTCTCTCTTCTTTCTTCCCTCATCCTCTATCTTCTTGTCTTTCTTTTCTAGGTACTGTTGCAGTAGCATTTTCTGTCAAAGATTTTCCCTTCCTTCCGTACCCCATGTGCTAGAGCACTTATTTATTTATTTATTTATTTATTTATTTATTTATTTTGAGACAGAGTCTCGCTCTGTCACCCAGGCTGGAGTGCAGTGGCATGATCTCGGCTCACTGAAAGCTCTGCCTCCCGGGTTCACACCATTCTCCTGCCTCAGCCTCCTGAGTAGCTGGGACTACAGGCAACCACCACCACTACGGCTAATTTGTTTGTATTTTTTTAGTAGAGACGGGGTTTCACCATGTTAGCCAAGATGGTCTCGATCTCCTGACCTCGTGATCCACCCGCCTTGGCCTCCCAAAGTGCTGGGATTACAGGCATAAGCCACCACGCCCGGCCGCTAGAGCACTTATTTAAAACAAATACACTGTTTAGTTAAATCATATTAAGAATATCCTTTTATATTACAGTTTGTATTTTGTTGTAGGCCAACAATTTTCAAACTTAAAAAATTTACTCCCCTAAGACATTTTTTGAATATATAACCTTAAATGTATGCATATTTATTTATAAAGTATATATAAACCATTGTACTATGTTATCCATTATAAATATTAAAAAGTGAATTTAGAAAAGAATGAAATGTAGTGATACATATAAAATGTTATACACTGACTAAATATAGATAAATTACTATGTTCTTTCTATACTTCAGTGGATTATCATGTGCACCTTCTGGAATGAGTATACCCCATGAAAACAATCTGAATTTTAAATATGAATTTTCTTCACAATGGACATTGTTTTTCTTTTTATTTAAACAAGGTTGAACTTACAAATCAAAGCAATACGGGAGTGATTTTAGACTAGCAATATTATCTTTAGTTATTCAGATGCACAAAAAGAACATTCATTCATTGAAGCTGTGATTAAAAAATTCTTTATCTATTTAAACTGAATAGTATACACTTGCATTATCCTACTACTTATCAAGCAGAGCAAAAAATAAAACTCACTCTAAACTTAAGTAATATAACTACAGGTTATTTCTCATCTTTGAAATGGAAGAATAACACTACAGTATCTTTATGGCTACTTACAGTGTATCTATGCTATGATCTTATGAGTTGAGATAATGATATTTTAAAGTTTTATACTTGCAAATTTTATATTGTAGCATATTTTTTGTTAAAGGGCTGTATCTTGGGTGTCATACTTGGAACAGAGAAAGAAATGTGTTGTGAGTTTATTAGTATTTGAAACTCAAAAAGTGCTAAATAAGCTGCATGCAGGTGTGGAGTGGCCACAGGAGTGGTGTTCAAACAGAGTTACAGCTGGAGCACTGTGCCTGTGTTAGGTCAAAAGTGGAGCTATAGCTTGGGATTCTCGTGAACAGTCTGGGAAAAGAGTATTCAAGGATATCAGACCAAAAGGAGTATAGTAAGAAGTAAATTAGATGATAAGACAGAGGGCAAGGAAGAGAGTTACCAGCTAGGAACTGGGAATTACACAGGAATTGAGGGAAGAAACTGTCTAGGAAAATTTGGGGGTGGTGTGGACAAGGAGAAAAAGGGTCTAATCCCAAGAAAAGAACTAACCCTCAAGCATAGTATATCCAAAAAACTCAAAGACCTTCAGATTTGAAGTTAGGTTGTGTCTCCATTAGGAAACTTACATGATTTAGGAATGTAGGAATCCCAACGTGGAGGATACCAGACTCCTAACATGGAAAATGATTCTGTAGAAGCACATGGTTGAATGGGAATAAAACTGTAGCTTTGAGAACCATATTTTGTTTTCATTTTTCATTTTAAATTTGGAGAAATTAAGGTAACAGAGTTTCCCCAGAATAGGAGAGGGATGGGAAGTGTTGTTTTTAGCTGAAGTACTATATGTGCCAAATATTTTTTAGCTGTAGAACTAGTATCTAGTTGGAAGACATAGCAATAACAATTAATTCTGCTTCTTAATGTACTGCAGGCCAGGGAAATGGAAAGCGAGAACAGAACAGTGATAAGAGAATTCATCCTCCTTCGTTTGACCCAGTTTCGAGATATTTAGCTCCTGGTCTTTGTGCTAGTTTTAATATTCTACTTCTTCATCCTCCCTGGAAATTTTCTCATTATTTTCACCATAAGGTCAGACCCTGGGCTCACAGCCCCCCTCTATTTATTTCTGGGCAACTTGGCCTTCCTGGATGCATCCTACTCCTTCATTGTGGCTCCCAGGATGTTGGTGGACTTCCTCTCTGAGAAGAAGGTAATCTCCTACAGAGGCTGCATCACTCAGCTCTTTTTCTTGCACTTCCTTGGAGGAGGGGAGGGATTACTCCTTGTTGTGATGGCCTTTGACTGCTACATCACCATCTGCCTGCCTCTGCAGTATTCAACTGTCATGAACTCTAGAGCCTGCTATGCAATGATGTTGGCTCTGTGGCTTGGGGGTTTTGTCCACTCCATTATCCAGGTGGTCCTCATCATCCGCTTGCCTTTTTGTGGCCCAAACCAGCTGGACAACTTCTTCTGTGATGTCCGACAGGTCATCAAGCTGGCTTGCACCGACATGTTTGTGGTGGAGCTTCTGATGGTCTTCAATAGTGGCCTGATGACACTCATGTGCTTTCTGGGACTTCTGGCCTCCTATGCAGTCATTCTTTGTCGCATACGAGCGTCTTCTTCTGAGGCAAAAAACAAGGCCATGTCCACATGCACCACCCATATCATTGTTATATTCTTCATGTTTGGACCTGGCATCTTCATCTACACGTGCCCCTTCAGGGCTTTCCCAGCCGACAAGGTGGTTTCTCTCTTCCACACAGTGATTCTTCCTTTGTTGAATCCTGTCATTTATACCCTTCATAACCAGGAAGTGAAAGCTTCCATGAAAAAGGTGTTTAATAAACACATAGCCTGAAAAAGGGCAAAAAAAAAAAAAAGAATAAAAATAGACTGTAGAATTTTATCTGAAATTGATTTGTTTATTTCCAAGTACTGCAATCATTGAATACCTCCCATTTGTCAGGACTATTCTAGGAACTGAAGAAAGAAAGTATTGAGGCAGATAAGGTCTATCTGCTCTCCAAGAGATACAACCTAGTAAAAATAGACCGCCGTTAAGGTAGAAAATAAACAGCATAGTTTCAGGAAGAGATACTGCTCTGTAAAAACTAAAACGAAAAGTGAAATGATAAACTGTGACTCTGGATTGGGAGTAACCAATTTGTGTTTAATAATAAAAAAAGGCCTTGAAGAGCTGACATTTTGGATCATATCTGGATAAACTGAAGAAGCCAAACATGCAAACATTTGTGGCTATAGTATGGTAGACAGAGGGCACAGGCAGTGCAAAAACTCAAAGATGATGATGAACTTGGTATATTTGAAGAATACAATAAAGTCCATGTTACCAAGAATATAGTAATTTAATGTGAAAATGATTAAACTTAAAGTTAGAGATACTGGTAGTGTCAAAAACATATGGTCTACATAGTAAATGTGAGTTTTCATTTTATTACAATTACAATAAGAAGCCATTCTGTGGCTTTAAGCAAAAGAGTGATTCCTCTACTGAAGGGTCATAAATGACTTAGGGCTGTAAACTCAAGATTCTATGCAGATATCAAAGAGTTGAAAAATATCATTAAGAGGAAAATATTATATTTGTAAGTGCACTTTGAAAGATATTAAACTACCAATTTTTCTTACATACATAAGCAGAGAGTGGCAAAAGAAAGCTGGTTACTTTTACTGAAAAAGATCAAAAAAAATTTTACTTTTTTTTTCTGGAGCTTCATTATTAATCCTAGCAAATTTTTATGACTTTTAGCTGTATGTTTGACCTTATTGCCAATTGATTTCACTGTAAGTTTAATAATGACAGTCTTTTCATAGACCAATCAGGATTTTGTGTCAGAGAGAAGAAACCATTCCAGCTATTTTAAACAAAACATCATTTAATATCAAGAGAGGTGTTCACAAAATCACTGCCAAGTCTAGAAGAGCAGACTATAGGCTGGACACCCAGAGATGACTTACAGACTAACACAGGTGACCTATGTTGTCAGGGAAGTTGTTCTTGCTACAATCTTAGCCATCTGTTGTCTGAAAAACACTACAATTTTAGCCATGTGCCTGGGATCAAGTTGATGATCCGGAATCACTTTGGACCTAACAAATCGCCCCTAGTATAACAGAAGCCTATCCTACTGCCTCCCTTTAACTAGCTTACTACATATTCAAATCTCAAATGAGTGCATTAAATGGGCAGCATCCAAAACATCTGGAACCCCAAATGCAAGGGGGTCAAAAATTGAGTTTTAAAATATTTTATTTTTGATAAAAACCAAAGTTTATACTTAGGAATATAAATTTTGTACATGGTAAAAATATTCAGACTATAGAAAAAGTGGTCTGAATCTTCAAATAATCCTTCTCTATTATCACTCTGTTTATTGTGTTGCTTCCTGTTTTACTGAGAAAGGTAACAGGTGAGAATTCCTTAATCTCCCATCACTACCACTATACAACCTGCATCTGTGATTAAGTTTCCTTTAACTTCTCCTGAAACTGGGTGACCTGATCCTGCTCCTACAGAAGTAAACCCTTCCACCTGTGCACCAGATTCCATCCCGTCCTCTCTACTAAAGGCAATTACTCTGGTAACTCTCCTTTCTCTCACCTATAACATGAACTTTGTCCTCCCTATTGGGTGTAACCTTTAGCGTGTAACCGCATTTATTCCCTCCTAAATAAAACCTTCTTGCCACCTTTTCCCCTGTCCATGTCACTTCATGAGTCTTTGTGTCTCCACATGAATTTTAGGATTTTTAAAAATTTCTTTAAAAAATGATGTTGGGATTTTCACAGAGATTGTATTGAATCTATAGATTGCTTCAGGTAGTGTGGATATTTTAACAATATTAATTGTTCTATTCCATTAACACAGAAAGTCTTTCCGTTTATTTCCATCTGCTTTAATTTCTTTCATCAATGTTTTACAGTTTAAGTGTACAAGTCTTTCACCTCTTTGTTTAAGTTTACTCCTAAATATTTTATTTTTTGGTTCTAATGGAAATGAGATTAATTTCTTAATTTCCCTTTTAGATAGTTCTTTTTTATTGTATAGAATTGAAATGATTTGTTTCTTTTGTAGATTTTTAAATTTATAAATATTTAATTGACACATAAAGATCAAATATATTCAAGGTATATGAAATGATAATTTGATATACATATACATTGTATAATGATTACCACAATCAAATTAACACATTAATCACCATCCATGTTGTACATTAGTTACCAAGAATGTGTTTATCTTAGGGCTGAAAGTTTGTACCATTTGACCAACATATTCCCCTTTTCTCTGACTTCAAAACCCTCTGACAACCACTGTTCTACTCTCTCCTTCAATGAGCTTTTTTTTTTTTTTTTCAGATTCTACATGTAAGTGAGATCATATAGTGTCTGTCTTTCTGTGTCTGGCTTATTTCACCTACCGTAATGTCTATTAGGTTTATCTATGTTGCTGCAAAGGGCAAAACTTCCTTCTTTCTTTGGCTGGATGATAATCTATCACATATATGTACCACAATTTTTATACTCATTCATCAATTGATGTACACTTGGGTTGTTTCCATATTTTGGCTATAGTGAATGATGCTGCAGTGAACATAGCAGTATAGTTATCTTTTAGAGATACTTATTTCATTTCCTTTGGGTATATATCTAGAAGTGAGATTGCTGGAACATATGGAAGTTTTATTTTTTATTTTTTGAAGAACATCTATATTGTTTTCCATAATGCCTGTGCCAATTTACATTCCCATCAATACTGTGAAAGGGTTCCCTTTTCTCCACATCCTTACCAACACTTGTTATCATGTGTCTTCTCATAATGGCCATTACAGTAGGTATGAGGTGATGTTTCATTGCGGTTTTAATTTCATTTTCCCAATGGTTGATGATGTTGAGCACCTTTTCATATACATGTTGGCTATTTCTATGTCTGTTTTGGGAATATGTCTGTTAAAATCTTTGCCAATTGTAAAAATCAGGTTGTTTGTTGTTTTACTGTTGACTTGCGTACTTCCTAATATATTATGAGTATTAACCCCTTATCATACATATGGTTTACTAATATTTTCTCCCATTCGATAGGTTACCTTTTAATTTGGTCAATTGTTTCTTTTGTGGCGCAGTGGAATTTTTAGTTGATATAGTCCCACTTGTTTATTTTTTGTTGCCTGTGCTTTTGTGGTCATATCCAAAAAATGATTGCCAAGACTGTTGTCAAGGTGTTTTTTCCTTATGTTTTCTTCTGGTAGTTTTACAGTTTCAGGTTTTACATTTAAATCTTTAATTCATTTCCAGTTAGTTTTAGTATATGTCATAAGACAAGACTTCAGTTTCTTTCTTTTGCATGTGGATATTTAGCTTTTACAACAGCATTTATTAAATAGACTTTTCTTTTCCCATTGTGTATTATTGGCACCCTTGTCAAATCTTAGTTGGCCATATATGTGTGAATTTATTTTTGGGCTCCCTACTGTGTTCCATTGTTATGTGTCATGTTTTTATAGTACCATACTGTTTTAATTAATATGGCTTTGTAGTAGAGTTTGAAGCAGTGAGTGTGATGCTTCCAGCTTTGTTCCTTTTTCTCAAAATTACTTTGGCTATTTAGAGTCTTGTACAAGTACATACAAATTTGGTTTTGTTTTTTCCATTTCTATGATGAATGCCATCGGAATTTTAATAGGGACTTGATAGAATCTGTAGGTAATTTAATTATTTTAGATATTTTAACAATATTAATTTTTTAAAATTAATGTACATAGGTATATTTACTTTTAATTCTCTTTTTCCATTTATTTCATCAATGTATTATAGTTTTCAGTGTACAGAGATTAAACCTCCTGGTTGAATTTATTCCTAAGTATTTTGTTTTAATTTTTTATAGTTATAAATGGGATTGTTTTCTTGACTTCCTTTTCAGATAATTCATTGTTACTGTTCAGAGATACCACTAGTTTTTGTATGTTCATTTTTTAATCTGCAGCTTTATGAACTCACTTATTCTAGAAGGTTTTTTTGAGGACATCTTTAGGATTTTCTCGATATAAGATCACGTCATCTGCAAACAGACAATTTTACTTCTTCTTTTGCAATTTGGTTGCCTTTTATTTCTTACCTACTTACTCTAGCTAGTACTTTCAGTAATATATTGAGTAGACTCGGTGAGAGTGGGCATCCTTATTTTCTTTCTGATCTTAGAAGGAAAGCTTTCAATTTTTCACCATTGAATATGATGTTAGCTGTGCGATTGTAATATGTGGCATTTATCACTGTGGTAGGTTCCTTCTAAGCATAGTTTTTATGATGAAGGATGTTGAATTTTGTCAATGCCTTTTCTGCATCTATTGAGGTAACCATATGGTTTTTGCCTTTCATTCTGCCAATGTGGTATATCACATTTATTGATTTGCATATGTTCAAATATCACTGTGCTTGCTAACCATGAATTATCCTTTTAATGTGCTGCCAGATTTAATGTGTTAGTATTCTGGCATTTATGTTCATCAGAGACACTGGATTGAACTTTTCTTTTAGTATCCACCTGTGGCTTAGGTATCAGAGTAATGCAGGCCTTCTAAAATGAGTATGCCTATTCAATTTCAATAAATTGGTATTAGTTCTTTTTCAAATGTTTGGTAAAATTTAAAACAGAATCCATTAGGTCCTGGGCTTTTCTTTGCTGTGAGATTTTTGAAACTATTGATTCAATTTTATTCCTTATTGATCGGTTAAGATTTTTTATTTCCTCTTAATTTAATTTTGACAAATTGTGTCCAGAAATTTATCTATTTCTTCAAGGTTATTCAATTTGTTGTAGTATAGTTGTTAAAACTTACACAAATTAAGTTTTTTCTATAATTTTTGACATATTTATAATATCATGTATTCATTTCTACAGCATTAGAAAGAATAATTTCTTCACCCTAAATTGTTCTTCAACTTAAATTATTCCACTCTTCTTTCTTCTCCTTGTACTCTTGGTAACCACCAGTCTTTTACTGTCTCTATAGTTTTAATTTTTCTAGAATGTCATACAATTGGAGTCATACAGTATATAACCTTTCAAAACTGGCTTCTTTCAGCTAGCATTATGCATTTAAGATTCATTCATGCTTTTTTATGGCTTGGTAGTTAATGACCTTTTTATTGCTGAATAACATTCTATTGTAAATATAGCACAGTTTGTTTATTCATACACTCGTTGAAGAACATTGTGATTGTCTCCAATTTTTGGCTGTTAGGGAATGAAGTTGCTGTAAACATTCATGACTGGGTTTTTGTGTACACATGTTTCAAATCAGTTGGGTAAGTGCCTGGGAGTGTGATCATATGGTAAGGCTATGCTCAGCTTTGTAAGAAACTTCCAATTTGGTCAAGATGTCTGACTAGTTGCAGACAGATAGAACAGCTGTCACTGTGGGACTGGGATGACTGGCACAGTCCTAACAGGTCCTCAAGACACAAAAGCTGGGCAGAAGCTGGGTGGGGCTACCGTGCAATGGGACTCGTTCCTCACCCCCAAGAACTTTGGGGGAATGGGTGAGTTGAACTGGCAAGAAGCAACCTACTCTTGCCACAAGCCTCTGGAATCCCACCGGGAGGAGACCCCTCAACCACTACAGACACAGAGTTGGCAGGGGAAGTGCTTAGAGGAGTGGTAGGAGCAGCATGGTAGCCGATATGGAGCCCAGAGGGTTTGTTGCAGGAACATCTATAGCAGAGCACGGCCAGGGATACCCATCTCTCCAGACTTGACTTGCCTCCATAGGAGACTTTAGCCCTAGGGGAACTGTCAGATATGAATTCTGCAGGGCAGTCTTCCCATCAGATGGGGCAGATCCAACCTTAGTACCCCCTGGTCTGCTGACCTCTCCCAGTGCTCCAGCCTGGTTTTTTTCTGCTTGCAGTACAGACTCAGGTTCCCTGGGGACCCGCATCTTAGCTTCTGCAATGGCAGACCATATCTAATTGGTGGAGAGCTCCAGCGGGGTGGCCCCTAGGGCCATGCACCAACCTGCCTGCTCCCTCCCTCTGCTGCAGCTTCTTCCAAGCCCATGGCCAACCACCCCTGCCCCCTGACATCATTTGGCTGGCTTGTATGTGTGCAGGTGGATTTTCCCTTCCCTTCACCACCAGCTTGTGTGAGCACGTGTACGCTGCCCTGCCTCTGCTGCCAGCAGGAGTGCACTCTGCTCCCCTTCCTCGGCCATACTACCATTGCAGTCAGAGCTGTAGTGGGCACAGAGCCCACCAGTCCTGCCTCTGTCAGTGACCTGCCCCTGTGCCAACACTGCCACCAGAATGAAACTAGGCACTGAAAACAATGAACCCTCCCCTGCCCTGAGTAGCCACAGAGGGTGCACACACACCTGAACCCACCAGTGTCCTGCCCCCATACTAACACCACCATCAGTGCACCAATGCACACAGTCACCAATGGGGGCCTGCTGACCCCCCAAGTTATGCTGACTCTACCCCTGCTGTCAATGCCTTCATGGAGGCAGGCATCTCAGCACCTGCTAGCAGTCTGCTGCAGCTGACAAGCATGCATCCTGATTTAATACTGCTGGTTCTGGTGCTGCTGAGGGCACCTGTGAATGAGGACAGACCCCCCCCCCCTACTGCCACCACACTACAAAACCCTTTGACTAGCACCATTCCATCAACGTGTAGTGACCAGCAGTCCAGGAGCACCTTAGCACCCCCATCACAGTCTGTTCATAATCTTGAGAAGTCAGAGAACAAAGTAGGGTAGGATATAAGTCCCCCAGAATTAAAACATGCAGCTGGGGAGATGACAGCTGAACCTTGGTCCCCAAAATCTTCCAGAAATAAAGCCAGTTGACTGAACCCACTTTATAACACAATCAAACTCTCAAAGTCATCTAATAAGATAAAAAAAAATCCAAAGGACAAGAGCTTCAAAGATTGAAAAAACACTAGCCCACAAAAATGAGAAAAAAACAGTGCAAGAACTCTGACAAGTCAAAAAGCCAGCATGCTGTCTTTCCTCCGAATGCCTCCACCAGCTCTCCACCAAAAGTTTTTAACTGAACTGGGTTGGCTGAAGTGACACAAATAGAATTTGGAGTATGGATAGAAATGAAGAGCAACAAGGTACAGGAGTATGTTGAAACCCAATCCAAGGAAGCTAAGAATCACAATAAAACAATGCAGGAGCTGACAGACAAAATAGACAGTATAGAAAAGAACATAACTGACCTGATAGAACTGAAAAACACACTGCAAAAATTTCATGATGCAATCACAACTATTAACAGCAGAATAGACCAAGCAGAAGAAATGATATTAGTGCTTTAAGACTGGCATTCTGAAACAAGACAGGCAGACAAGAATAGAGAAAAAAGAATGAAAAGGAAGAAACAAAACCTCTGATAAATATGTTTATGTAAAGAGAACAAATCTATGATTCACTGGTGTCCCTGAAGGAGATGGGGAGAATGGCAGCAACTTGGAAAACATATTCCAGGATATCATTCATGAGAACTTCCTCAACCTAGCTAGAGAGGCTAACATTCAAATTCAGAAAATACAAAAACCCATTTAAGGTACTTCACAGGAAGATCACCTCCAGGACACATAATTATCAGATTTTCCAAGGTTGAAATGAAAGAAAAAAATGCAAAAGGCAGCCAGAGAGAAAGGTCAGGTCACCTACAAAGGGAAGCCCATAAGACTAAGCAGACCTCTCAACAAAAACTCTACAAACCAGAAGAGGTTGGGGGCCAATATTCAAGATTCTTAAAGAAAAGAAATTCCAAACTAGAATCTTACATCTAGCCAAACTATGCTTCATAAGTGAAGGAGAAATAAGATCCTTTTCAGACAAGCAAATGCTGAGGGAATTTGTTACTACCAGACTGACCTGCCTTACAAGAGCTCCTGAAGGAAGCACTAAATAAGAAAAGGAAATATCATTACCAACCACTTCAAAAATACACTGAAGTACATAGACCAATGACACTAGAAAGCAGCCACACAAACAAGTATGTATGGTAACCAACTAACAGCATGATGACAGGATCAAATCTACACATATCAATACTAACTTTGAATGTAAAAGGGGTAAATGCCCCAATTAAAAGGCACAGAGTGATAAGCTGGATAAAAAAGCAAGACCCAATGGTATGCTGTCTCAAGAGACATGCAGTGACACGCATAGGCTCACATGCAATGACACGCATAGGCTCACATGCAATGACACACATAGGCTCACATGCAATGACACCCATAGGCTCATATGCAATGACACCCATAGCCTCAAAATAAAGGGATGGAGGAAAATCTACTAAGTAAATAGAAAACATAAAAAATACAGAGATTGTAATCCTAATTTCAGACAAAACAGACTTTAAACCAACAAAGATAAAAAAAGACAAAAAAGGGTAATGACATAATGGCAAAGGGTTCAATTCAACAAGTAGTGCTAACTATCCTAAATATACGCGCACTTAACACAGGAGCACCCTGTTCAAACAAATTCTTAGAAACCTACAAAGAGACTTAGACTCACACACAATAATAATGAGAGACTTCAACACCCTACTGACAGTATTAGACACATCACTTAGGCAGAAAATTAGCAAAGATATTCAGGACCTTAACTCAGCACTGGATCAAATGGACCTGATAGATGTTTACAGAACTCTCCACCAAAAAGCAACAGAATATACATTCTTCTCATCACCCCATGGCACATATTCTGAAACTGTTTCATGGAGGAAACTGTTTCATGGAGAGGAAGCCACAGGGCTGACAGGAAACCAGACCTTAACCTCCCTCTGCACCTGCCCTGAGGCTGGCTCTTGTGCTCAGTGGGTCCTGAGCGTCCCCAGGTGGTCCTGTTCCCTCTTCAGGGAGGCTTGTTTCTGGGCTCATACTGACATTTTTTCTAATTGTGTTCCCCAAAATGGAGACAGAGTAAACCGTGAATCCATGCATCTCAGAGAACACAGAACAGCAGAATTACACCCACTGATCCCCCCACACACATTTAGGTAAATCTTATTAAAACTGCTGAAAAGGAAAGACAAATAGAAATATATGCAGGCAAGTGGAGGTGAGCAGAGGGGGCATTCCTTCCAAAAGAACAGAAAAGATGATGACAGCATTCTTCTGGTTAAAACCTTACAAGCAAGAGGAAAGTTGATGGTATCTGTAAAGTGTTGGATGAAAAGTCAACCCATTATTTTATAACGCATGGGTGTTCTCTAAAAAGTGAAAAAAAATTCTATTTCTCTTCGACAGCATGAGGGTTTCAGTGAATCCAGGCCCTCATGAGACCAGTGAAAATTATTTTGAAAAATTACAGGGTTTGGAAAGGCTCTAACAGCATAAAGCAAGTGAAGAAATATTTATTCAAGAAAATCTAGAAAACTCGGTAAGGCCAGTCATCATGCTTGATCTAAGATGATCTTCCTTCCTTCCACATCCCAGCTCAGCATGATGTAAACTCCACTGCCGACAGATGCAGCCAAGAAGACAGGACACCTTCTACCAACTCCCACCAGAGGAAACTCTTCCCCAGGGCCCAGTACGTTGGCCCTCTGACCCTGCACACAGCACATGATGCTGAGGTTCAGTGCTGAACAAGAGCTACCGAGAGCCAGAGACTCACTTCTTCCATGGAGCCCCACTCATGGATGGAGGCTCTGCCCCGGGTCCAGTGCCACTGGGAACACTGGGTCTCTGGTTTCTAGCTCTGTCCTATGGCAGAGGTTCCACCCCACAATAACCGAAGTGCTGAGAAGGTGGGAAGCTCCTGCCCGACCCTCCACTGAGAGCTCAGCTCCTAGGCTGAGGAATAAAACAGCTCAACTTTGTCTACACCTGCAGAACCTTGTTTAGGAGCTCTGTCCCAGGAGAGAGGGAGCAATGGAATTCAGTCATAAAATATGATCCTTAATTAGTCCTAAAAATCCTAACTTCAGTAACAACAGAATGTGGACAAATTGAAAGCCTGCCAGTGCTCTCAAAAACAGTGGATGGTGTGGTGGAAAGCCCTTGGAAGGAGATGGGTGGATGCATGGGAGATGCAGGCTACACTGCAGGGCTGCTGGCTTGCAGGAGAGAACCGAGAATGAGGGAGAGCTGGGGAAAGTTCTCTTGTGGTTGAAACAAATGCCAGACACTCTTCAATGGAGCCCATGTTTGTTTGGTTCAGTCTGTGAAGTAATTCAAACCTCAGTGCATGATTGAAAATAGTACAATTTTCCATCTGCAAGTGGCAGCCCTGGATGACTGGATGGTCTATAATTGGGACACGTATCTAGACTCAACGATGCCTGGATGGAAAATGTGCAGGCTGCTCCACTGATGTCAGCTGTTTCATCACAGTTTTATGATTTAATAAAAGTCATATTTTTTTTCATTTTTGCACATCAAATTTTTTTCTGTGATCCATATTCCTAAGCCCATCTTTGAGCTCACAGCCCTTTCCCAAGAAATCAACATCTAGACCTCCCTCTTCTCGGGGCTCCGAGGTGATTCCTGAGTGGCATCCTCTCCACCTCCCTGCTGGGAACAGAGCCAGTTGCAGGGCTCACGGGCAGCCTTAGAATGTCTGCTCCTCCGGGGTGTCCCCCTGCTTCTCACTGGAGAAGAGGCCTCTGGGGTGGTCACAGCCTCTTTCTCCACATGAACCCTGAGAGTTCTTCCTGAGCTACACAGCTGGGGGAAGACTGCCCTAAGAGACGTGAAAAGAGAGACATGGGAAGTGAGGTGTCTCAGCTCTTGTCTCCCCTGGGTGGTGTGGCCTGACCTCACCAGAGCCCCAGCCTAACCCACCTGACCTGTCCCCAGGAGCTGTACTGAGCGATGGCTGCACCTGCTCAGTTACCTGTGGGGCCCAGTGCCTCTGAGAGAGGTGCCCAGTGAGGGCTCTGCAGGGCTCCCCCCGAGCAGGAGCTGGGCTGAGGGAAATCAGCAGGAGGTAGGGGCTGCCCAGGCCCTGGGGAGGCAGGCAGCGTGGAGAGGACACAGAGGTGCACTGGGAGGGCGCAAGCCAGTCAGGACCACCCTCTCAGCTCTGAGAAATGAGCTATGCTCACGGAATGCTCACAGTCAAATCCTGCTGGGAGGGCCATCCTCTGCTCGGGTTCTCTACTGTCCAGGGCAGGAATGACTCATGTGGCCATTCAGAGGCGAGGCCCCACCAGGAAGCATCCACTGACTGCCCAAGGCTGTGCATCCCCATAGCGCTGAGCTCATGTCCCTGACCTGTGGCCTCTGGGCCCACACTCTGCTCAAAGTTCCCTCAGGGGGATGAAGGGAGAGGCGGGCCCTAGGGCAAGGGTGCCCAGGAGGAGAGAAGGAAAAGGCAAGCATGTCTTCATCAGTGGGGTTTTCTCCTGAGAGCAGAATTCATTTCCACACCTTCCAAGTTCCCTCTTGTGGCTGGCACTTCTCTGACCTGGAGCCCCAGATGGCGGGGCACTCAGAAGAGGGAGGGTCATTCCTGGGAGCAGATAAGGCCTCCTCCTTCTCCAGCTCCTGAATCAGAAACTGAGGCCTCCCCTGGACCTTCCCTGCTTATGACTGAGGCCTCCCACGTGCAAAGCACACCTTCATCTTGCACTGAAGTCTCAGGACCTGGAGAGCACCTCCACACGGGGGGCTGGATCCTCCTGGAACTGTAAGCCTTGCCCAGAAAGCCCTGAAGGGGAGCAGGGAGGCGGCAGCAGCACAGCCTTCTTCAGCTTCCAGGGGAAGGGATGAGGGAGGCGGGTGGACGAGCTTCCAACCGGCATGGCATGGGATGCTGAAAAACGCGATGGGCTCTGGCCTATTGGAGCCATCTCTCCTTGTCCTGTACCTGCCCCTTGGGGGTTTAGGGCAGAGGAAATGTTGGCTTGTTGTGTGAGTCAGATAAACAGGTGGGGAGAATGGGCCCGTATGCCCTGGTTTGCACAGGAAAGGTGTGCTCACCAGCAAGTGTTTCTTCTAGAAATTAAGTAATCCTGGGACAGGCTTTTCCTCCCCAGTTCCACAAGACTCCAAGATGTCAGAGTATCATAAACACGGAGAATAAGGACACAGGATTAACCCAACCCAACCTCTGATGGTTTCATGTCATGTGAAGGAATTTTTGGAGTGTTGATGCTGAAGAGTTTACAGAGTGTGGCTACATCAGTTGCCCTAAAGGATATAGAAAACATTTTACTGTGAGAGTAGAGAGGAGGAACACAAGTAGAAGTATCAAGAGTCGCTGCCAGCCAGCCCATAAATAGGTTTCCCATTTGTATGACAGCCAAGAAACCTGGTCTGAGACAGCTGGGGTCGCAAACAATGTCTTGGTGCAGTTATAAATTTCTTTATGCATGTATTTTTCTAACAATAATATTTTGGTGTCTTTCTTGGGTCAAGGTGGCAGGTCCTCTAGTCACATTGTTGGAGTGCATGGATGGATGGGTTAGTAAATTATTTCTCAAGATTAGTGGTAATCAAAAGGTGGAAGTGTTGGTGGTGGTCGTAGTTCAGAGATGCGGGTTGGGAGTGGGAAAAGTTACTGGGGAGTGGGTGGTTCTCTCCTCATGGTGTCAAAGGGTTGATGGATATGAGGCAGGTTCCTTTGTGTGCAGCAATGACCTCTGCTGATTTTCAGACTGACAGAGATGGTAGTAACCACTATCAGATTTCTCTGTATGAACAGAAATGTAGTGTAGCATGTTGTGGCAAACAGCAAGGAGTGCACTGGGATCCTGGACCAAATGGACAGCAAGCTCAGGGAGCACAATAGGATCCCTAGTATCCAAGGGACAAAAGCAAGGCATGTCCAATGCCTTATTGTTTCATTGAGAGACTTCCCAGGCCATGACTGGTGTTAAGGTTTAGGGCACAACTGTCTCCAGCTCGCCGGGGAAAAGCCAAAGCCACCTCCAGCTTTGAGCCCTGGGCCAGGCCGATGTGCTCTAGGATGGGGTACTAGGGTGTCCTTTCCAGGTGGGCATGTGCTCAAGCGGACTGACTGGCTATCAGCACTTGCCGTGTTTGGTTGAAGTGATGGCCTATTTGGAGGTTTCTGCCCTTTGGATTATAACAAATAAGTCCACAATACAAGCAGCCACATGGACAATGGTGAGACCAGCAGTCAACAGAGGGGTGCTTGGCTGCAGTTGGCAGGTGTTGATGTTGTTTTCATTTGTTTTTTGAGTTTGTTTTTGTGGAACTTTACGTTCAAATGGGCTCATATCAGATGAGCAGCCGACTGACCCACGGGACCCTCTATGGCTAATCATCCGAGGAGAGTTTTTACCCTCAATAGGTTCTCCAGCCCTTATGAGATAAGAGCAACATCAAACATTTGTAAAGATATGGAAATAATATTTTAAATAGCCTCAATAATGCAATGAATATAAGCCTATAAGTATCTCAAAGGGTGATGGAGAAGTCCTGAAAGCTGGGATGAGGGCGACTCAGCTAAGAGCCTTGAATTTAGGGAGAGTTAGTTCTACAGAAGTTGGAGATCCATTGGGTGTCCATTTACTGGAGTGGAATTTGAAGGAATTGTTTGAGGAGATCAGTATGTCTCTGAGTTAAACCAGCCCATAATTAAGTTCTATTGAATGGGGCCTAAGAGGCATGAAGTTCTATCAAGTGGCTTTTTCTGTATCCAGCATTGTGTGTTTTGAAAAGTAAAATGTGTGACTTGGTTACTGTCAGCAAAGTATGCAATTTTGAAGGACATTAGTGTCCCACCAAAGCCTCGTATTGTGAACTTATTATGTGCAGAGATATGAGCCACTTGATTTATATTTTCAGTGTCTGGGAGGCAAGAGACTTTCAGATTTCCTTACCCTGAAGACAGCTCTTAAACAACGTCTGAGCTGTTTATAATAAATGTGGAAATGGAGCCATTGGTTCGATAGGGCACCCAATGCTGGTGTGACTGCCTGATGTCTGCCTAATTTTGGGGATCCCCAGCCCCATCCTTTGTTGGGACATATGGCCAAGAGAGGGAGAGCAGAAGCATGCCCCAAGCCCCATCACTTGTCATCCTTGCAGCCCGCAAATGCCAGTCACTGTCCACTCAGTGAGTCCCAGCGTTCTTCCCATGTGGCCGAGAGGTGGCCTCCTCCAGCACTTGGGCACCTGCCAGGTGACTGTGGATATAGGAAGCCAGTCCTGCTGCAAGCAGAAATGACAGAGGGCCTGGGTGTTGCTTTATCCTGTCTTAAGAAGGCCTCTGGAGCCATGCTAAGTGTGTGGGGTGCTGTTCCCGTGACCCCAAACACAATAGTTAGCTGGATGTGTCCAAATAGTCCAGGTTGTAGACAGCAATGTTCAGTTGAATGATTTATAGTCCAAGGCCAAAGGGAGCAGTTACTTGCCTTGGAAACTGTCGAGCATCTTAAGGCCACATTGATCGCCCAGAGACACCAGGAGGCATGAGAAGGGTTTGCCAAGTTTCTTTAGTGAAGGAGTTTCTGAGGATACTAACAGAAGAGCCTGTTGATTTTAAATTAGGCACACTGTTGAGCCTTTTGTTGAAGGAAATTTCATTTAGGGGAGGTGATTTATAAGTAGCAACAACAGCGAGGCTAGTTGAAATTTATGGGTGAGGAATATGTTGCACCAGAACCCACAAGGAACAGCAGGATGTGGCATTTGTATGTCCTTAATGAAAGTATGGGGAGCATCTCCTCAGAGGAGGTGTCAGCAGTGCTGCGGAGGAAGGCAGATGCAGTGAGGAGCCAGCCTGCGAAGCTCTCATGTGGTGGCCACGCCGCTGAGGTGCCCGCGTATCCTGAGAAGGGTGTCCTTCCCAGGCAAAGACAATCTGCAGCTAAGGGGCTGCTGAGATGGGCGCTGAGTACAACCAATTAGACACATCTGGAAGAGCAAAGTCTGCACTGGCTGTTGGTTAAAGCCAGTCGTTTTGAGAACATTGGGAGTATGGGGCCCTAATGGGTGGGGCCACGGCATGAAAGTTGTGACAATCCAACATAGGGCAACCTTCATGCTATTGTCTTTTCTTCTTCACCGGTTTAAGAACAGGCAAGATTTGGCTGTGAAATAGAGAAGCAATGGGAAAAATCACCTCTTTATTGATTAGATTTGTATAATAGTTTTTAATCTTCGAAGGTCCATTTTCACTTCTGTTGGAATATATTAACTACATAAACTGGAACTCTTTGAGTTCCATTTTATCAAGCCAATGCACAAGTGCCAAACACCTCATTCCATTTTAATTTAATTCATTGTGTCAGAGTGTATGCCCAATATGAGATATTTTAGGACAAAGGACATTATGATCATGTGAAATCTAGGCAAGGCAACCGCTAAAGTGCGGTGTGTCTATTTCTTCTTCCAAATATATTGATTTCTATTTAATTATCTTAAGTTCACATGGGATACATGTTTAAATCTTGAAATCTAATGAATTTCCTAGGTATAGCTATTATTGGAGCCCTGGTATTGATCACAAAGTTTGCCAATTGGTGCAATCCCAAAAATGCTAAAGTGAAATTACAATGGACCAGTATACAGTTCCAAGGTCAGAGTCTGGAAGGCGTTTCACAGAACTAAAGACTTGAGCACCAGCCATGCTGCTTCCTTCTAGAGTTATCTGGGAGAATCTATCTCTTGCCTTTGCCAGCTCCTAGGGGCGCCTGCGTTCCCCGGCTGGTGGCTGTGTGACTGACCTCCGCTTCCATCCCACACCTCCCCAGTCTTGGACTCTGCTGCTCCTCTTTCTCCTCATCAGGACCCCAGGGCATATGGCATGCACAGGCCAGGGTGACTGTAACATCCAAGGGCCTCTATCACGTCAGCCCAGTCCCTTTGGCCCTGCAGGTGATGTCTTTGTAGAGCCCCAGGACTATGGCATGGGCATCTTTGGGGGGCATTCTTCTGCCTGCTGCAGGATCTAGATTCCCCTCTCTAGAACCTGTAGTGTAGAGGGGCACGAAGCCAACCAGCTTCATTTTCAATTTTTGTCTTAGAAGTTATTTCAGTACAGAATTTTGTATATAAACTTTGGATTTCTAATTGGTCAAATGATGGACATTTATTTAAATTTAGTTATATATATACATTATATATACCAAAGTGATATATAATTATATAAATAATTATAATACTGTTATAATTATATAAATAATTATAATACTGTCATAATTATATTAGAAATATACTATTATAATTTTATAATAATTACATTTATATAAAATATCTATATGTAGTTTCATGATTATTTAGTTCCTTTTCATTTTTGGAACCTATGCTAATATTTCCCCTCTATTGCTCCTCTTTCCCTAAGGTCTCGAGTTCCTCTGAGCCTGATGATGAGCCAGGACAGGAAGGGGCCTGGGCCTCCAGGCAGCAGCATCTCTCCAGGATGCCCCCAGCCACAGCATAAGGAATTCCTACACTTTTGTTATCTTAAACAAAACCTTCTAGAATTCCTTCTAACTCTAGGAGACTGAAATGTATTTTTCTTTCTTTCAACTGTCTCCTGTCTGTCCCTGACTCCCTCACTCCGTTTTTTAATGTTTGGCCATTTATCTCATGAGCTTACTAAAAATAAATTGTATACTCAGCAATGGATAACATAGAAGAAATGGATAAATTCCTAGATATGTACAATCTTCCAAGATTGAATCTTGAAAAAGTAGAAACAGAACTATTACTAGTAAAAGACTGAATCAGTAATCGAAAGCGAGCTTGGAACCACTTCCAAAAGTTTTTTTGTTTGTTTGTTTGTTTGTTTTTTGAGATGGAGTCTCGCTCTGTTGCCCAGGCTGGAGTGCATGGCATGATCTCTGCTCACTGCAAGCTCCACCTCTCAGGTTCACGCCATTCTCCTGCCTCAGCCTCCTGAGTAGCTGGGATGACAGGTGCCCACCACCATGCCCGGCTAATTTTTTGTATTTTTAGTAGAGATGGGGTTTCACCTTGTTAGCCAGGATGGTCTCGATCTCCAGACCTTGTGATCCACCCATCTCGACCTCCCAAAAGTTTTAAGATGAAGAAATACTTCTAAACTTATTTTATAAAGTCAGCATTGCCCTGAAATCAAAACCAGGCAAACACCAAATTAACATAAATTACAGACCACTCTTACTGAAACACAAAGATGCAAAAAGTACTCAACAAAATATTGGCAAATCAAACTGAACAGCACATTACAAGGATCATTTGCCATGATCCAGTGGAATGTCTCTCTGGAATATTGGGATGGTGCAACATCTAAACATCACTGAATCTGATGGACCACATTAACATAATGAAAGACTAAAATATTATCTCATCAGATGCATAAAAATCATTTGACAAATTTCAACATCTTTCCATGATAAAACCTCTTAACAAACTACAAATAAAGGGAAATTATCTGGACATATTGAAAGCCATATTTAAAAGCCCACAGTTAGCATCATAGCCAATGCTGAAACACTGAACAAGCTTCCACTTAGATGATGGAGAAGACAAGGATGCCCTATCTCACCAATTCTGTTCTACATAGTATTGTAAGTCCTAGTCAGAGAACTTAGGCAAGAAAAAGTTACTAAATCAGAAAGAGAGGAGTAAAGGTGTCACTGTTTACAGATGACATGTCTTGTATGTAGAAAATCCTAAAAATTGCCCCCCAAAATCAAAACAAAACCAAAACAAAACAGCTGTAAGTTGCTAATTTGTGTGTATAAAATTGGTGTTCTGCAAGATGAATAAGTTCTGGAGACTGGATGCACAGAATCCTGAGTCTAGATAACTTGACTGCACAGTACACTTAAAAATTTGCTGAGAGAGTGTATCTCATGGTAGGTATTCTTATCACAATACAAACTTTAAAAGTTGTATATGAGGACATTGGTACTGCTTTCATATTATTTATTATGAATGAATTTCCAAAAAAAGTGTTATCAGTAATGAGTTGAGGTAATGAGTAATTCATATACAGGAATAGCCTCAAGAGAACAAGAGGAAGAGATGCATTTAGAGTAGAAATCCTCACACTTTAGATGCATTTTAAATGTCTGGATAATGGAGTACTTAAAAAGGGATGTGTCTGTCTCTTCCCCCAACTATTGAGAATTAGTTCCTGAGTAAATCAAAGAACATTATTTTATCCAGCCCCGGTAGGTCCTGAGGTCCTTGTCTCTGGCATCACAGAATGGGTTAGAGTGCAGGGCTGGCGTAGAGCTCCTGAGACAGTAATGTGATGTTGTCCAAAGCTCCATGGGTGAGGAGAGCCACACCACAGGTGGGACCCAAGGAAAGAGCCCAGGAGCTGTGCTGGGCTCAGCACTGAGGAAGCAAGACCTGGGCCTGTGGATAGGGGGAGCTGCGCTAGAAACAAGGAAGGGCAGGAGGGAAGAGGGGTTGGAAGGAAAGTAGCCCTGGGATCAGAATGGCAGGGCTGTCCTTTGCCTATTCCCATTTGTCTCGCAGACCAAGTGTCCTCCAACCACCAAATGTCAAGTGACATGCGTGCCACATGAGTTTAGGAGGAAAGGCACTCTACACAACGCTCAACTACCAGGAGGTAGGGGCCATATCTTAACTTTTCTACTTATAAAAAGAGTCAGCTAGGCTGGGCACGGTGGCTCATGCCTATAATCCCAGCACTTTGGGAGGCCGAGGCAGACAGATCACATGAGGTCAGGAGTTTGAGACCAGCCTGGCTAAGTGACAAAACCCTGTCTCTACTAAAATTACAAAAATTAGTCAGGCATGCTGCTGGGCACCTGTAATCCCAGCTACTAGGGAGGCTGAGGCAGGAGAATCGCTTCAACCCGGGAGAAAGAGGTTGTAGTGAGCCGAGATTGCACCACCGCACTCCAGCCTGGGCGACAGAGCGAGACTCTGTCTCTAAATAAATAAATAAATAAATAGTCATCCACCCCGTGTAATTTTTTGTTTTAGCTCTGGGGTAAAATCCACCCCTGGGCTGTGGAAGCATCCAGTCACTTCTCAGACTGGGACGGTGTCTCTGGGGAAGACAAAGGTGGGTTCAGAAGAAGATGAGATTGCTGGGCCTTCTCCTGTGCCTGCTGACACCTCCCGAAGGTGAGCATCTCAGAGGCCAGACACGGGCTGTGGCAATAACTGTGATGTCCCATGACTGACAGGGACTGACTGTTCTTGTTCCCAGCTGTCCTGTCCCAGGTGCAGCAGCAGGAGTGAGGCTCAAGACTGGAGAAGCCGTGGCTGCCCCCTTCCTCACCTGGCACGACTCCGGATTCTCCATCACAGCCAGTGGTTACTGCGGAGGCCCGGTCCACCGGCCCCTAGACAAGGGGTTGCACTGGCTGAGGAGCATCGATTATAAGAGAAACACGAACAACCGCCGCCTCTCAAGAGCCTCATCTCCATCCAGAGACTCATCCAACAAGCAGCGCTCCCTGCGGCGGAGCTCCAGGAACCCACAGGACAGCCAGGTATTCCTGTGGGAGACACAGTGAGGGGATGCCGTGTGAACCCAGACAGGACCCTCCCTCCTGGGGGCCTGAGATGTGCAGGATGCACTCGACACTTGGGTCCACTGAAGAGCAGGCTCAGATGGGAAGTGGCGAGGACTTCTCCTTAGAATCTGAGGCTTTCTTTTCTCTAATTCTCAGATGTCCTCAGGGACATTTCATTCTCTTCTCTGTGGCTCTGATTTCCCCCTTTCTCACTGCAGGCAAAAAAGGATGAAATAACTTTCTCCACTGGCAGATAGGCTGTTTCAATTTCATAGAAACCTTCCCTTCATCCGGCTCCCACGTGGTCTGCTTTTTCCTTCATCTGCTTCCATGTGGTCTGCTTTCCTTCCTGAAAAACAGGTCATGTTCAGGATTCACACTTGCTCGAGAAATTCTTCCCTCAAACTCCAGTTCAGACCAGGCACACCCTCTCCCACATCTGTCCCCACGTGGACCCTTCCATGAGATGACCCCACCTGTCCCCAGGTGGACCCTTCCCTCAGACGAGCACACCTGTCCCCAGGTGGACCCTTCCCTCAAACAAGCACACCTGTCCCCACGTGGACCCTTCTCTGAGAGGAGCACACCTGTCCCCACGTGGATCCTTCCTTCAGATGAGCACATCTGTCCCCACGTGCACCCTTCCCTGAGACAAGGACACCTGTCCCCACGTGGATCCTTCCTTCAGATGAGCCCCCCTGTCCCCACGTGGACCCTTCCCTCAAATGAGTACACCTGTCCCCACGTAGACCCTTCTCTGAGAGAAGCACACATGTCCCCAAGTGGACCCTTCCCTGAGTCAAGCACACTTGTCCCCAGGTGGAACCTTCCTCCACACGAGCACACCTGTCCCCACGTGGACCCTTCCCTGAGACAAGCACACCTGTCCCCACGTGGACATTTCCCTCAGAGGGGCACACCTGTCCCCACGTGGACCCTTCCCTGAGACAAGAACACCTGTCCCCACATGGACCCTTCCCTTGGAGGAGCACACCTGTCCCCACGTGGACCCTTCCTTCAGACAAGCACACCTGTCTCCATGTGGACTCTTTGCTCAGAGGAGCACAGGTGTACCCATGTGGACCCTTCCCTGAGACAAACACACCTGTCCCCACGTGGCCCCTTCCCTGAGATGAGCTCATCTGTCCTCTTCCCCAAGGCGAGCACACCTGTCCCCACGTGGACCTTTCCCTGAGACAAGCACACCTGTCCCCACATGGACCCTTCCCTCAGAGGAGCATAACTGTCCCCATGTGGACCCTTCCTTCAGATAAACTCACCTGTCACCACGTGGACCCTTCCCTCAGAGGAGCACACCAGTCCCCATGTGGACCCATCCTTCAGACAAGCTCACCTGTCCCCATGAACCCTTCCCTGAGACAAGCACACCTGTCCCTACATGGACCCTTCTCTCGGATGAGCACACCTGTCCCCATGTGGGCCCTTCCCTGAGACTACCACACCTGTCCCCACGTGGACCCTTCCTTGAGACAAGCACACCTGTCCCCACTTCGATGCTTCTCTCAGATAAGCACAACTCGCCCCACCTGGACCCCTCCCTGAGACGAACTCACCTGTCGCTACGTGGATTCTTGCCTTAGACAAGCACCTCTGTCCCCACGTGGACCCTTCCCTGAGGGAATCACACCTGTCCCCAGGTGGACCCTTACCTCAGACAAGCATGCCTGTCCCCAGGTCAATCCTTCCCTCAAAAGAGCACACCTGTCCACGTGAGGACCCTTCCTTGAGACAAGCACTCCTGTCCCCACATGGACCCTTCCCTCAGACGAGCTCACCTGTCCCCATGTGGACCCTTCCCTGAGACAAGCACAGCTGTCTCCATGTGGAATCTTCCTTCAGACAAGCACACCTGTCCCCACATGGACCCTTCCCTCAGATGAGCTCACCTGTCCCCATGTGGACCCTTCCCTGAGACAAGCACGCCTGTCCCCATGTAGACC
This sequence comes from Homo sapiens, assembly GCF_000001405.40. Classification (NCBI taxonomy): domain Eukaryota; kingdom Metazoa; phylum Chordata; class Mammalia; order Primates; family Hominidae; genus Homo; species Homo sapiens. The sequence goes on from NT_187602.1 coordinate 470,507, forward strand.
CTTCCTTCAGAGGAGCTCACCTGTGCTCAGACACCACCAGGGTCCTCAGACACTAATAGGGTGGCTCAGACACTAATAGGGTGGCTCAGACTCTAAGAGGGGGGCTCAGAAACCACCAGAAGGGCTCAGACACCACCAGAGGGCGCCCAGCAACCACGGAATGCTCAGAACCTACCGGGGGCGCTCAGGACCTACAGGGGTCGCTCAAGACCTGGCTCAGGAGCAGATGCAAAGTGAAGCTGAGGTTTCCGTTTTCTCTTTGGGGATTCCTTGTCCTGCCCTGCAAAAGCCTTGCTCAGCAGCTATTATTGTTTCTTCCCTGGAATTCCCCAGTTCCTCTCATCTGAAAAGGACTTAGAGCAGAAATCCCATTTAACTTTTCACACTTCATTTTCAGTCTCCTTCTAGTGATATTTCAGTAAAATATTAATAAGAAATAATGAAGCCACAGTCCAAATGTTAGCACCATGCAAAGATTCGTGTGTCTTCTCCACTCTGTCAGTTACGCCTTAGGAAACTCTTCTCTCAATCCACTGCTCAGTGTACACTATGGCATTGTGTTTTCTTCTTTGCTTTCATCTGCTTTGCAGGGAAATGAAGCACCATTTATTGGGACGTGTCCTCCATTTCTGATGGGCTCCCCGTGGTCTCCACCTCAGATGGTTTTGCCACCATCTTTAATCCGTTAATGCCTTCAATCGCCCTCACCATCCATGTAATGAAGCAATGAATGCCTTTACTTCATCTACTTGTGTCTCCATCAGTCAGTTCACTTCTCTCCATTCTCACAAAGGACAGCCACCCACTACTTCAGAGCCTCCTGCAGCCTTGGGTGGTAAACCTATTAAAAAGCCCCTGCTGTTTAGAAAGGGTGTGTATTGGAAACTTAATCCCAAATTCCATAGTGTCCAGAGGTGAGAATGTTAAGAAATGATTAGGCCGAGAGGGCTCTGCCCTCATGAAGCAATTAATGCCATTATCATCAGAGTAGGTTACTTATTGTGGTAGCAGATTAGTTACTACAGGCCTGGGTTCCTCATTAAAAAATGAGTTTAGCCCCCTTTCCATCCTTTGCACATGCTCTCCTGCCTTCCACATGGGCATCACAGCAAGAAGGCTCTTGCCAGATGCTAGCACCTTGACATTGACTTCCCAGCCTCTAGAGCTGGGAGAAAATAAATTTCTTTTCCTTACACATTAGCCAGTGTGTGGTATTCACTCATTGCACCACAAAGTGGACTAAGACAAAAAATCAGTATCAAGAGGTGGGGCTGTTGTGATAACAAATATCCCAAAATGTAGAAGTGGAAGTAGTAATGCACAGAGACTGGAATAATTTGGAGGATCAGGTTATAAAAAGTCTAGATTGCCATGACTAGAACACTAGGGGTATTCTTTTGAGGACTCAGAAGAAGACAGCTGTGAGGAAATTCTGAAACTTCTTAGAGATTATTTAGGTGATGATCATTAGAATGTTGGTAGAACCGTGGACAATAAAGGCCGTTCTGATGAGGTCTCAGGAGAAAAAGAAGAATAGCTCATCGGAAAATGGAGCAAAGGCCATCCTTCCCTTAAAGTGGCAAGGAATGTGGCTGAATTGTGCTCATCCCTAGGTCTTTCTGTAAAGTGGAAGTTCAGAGCCATGAGTGAGGATATATGGTGGGAGAAATTTGAAGCAAATCTATGGCCTCACTTCTAGCAGGCACTTTAGGACTCTGTTCCCTGTGTCCAGGCACAGCACTCCTTGGCTGCCCATGATGTGGCTCAGGAGGACCTAGGTGTGGCTCAAGCCATCACTTTAATGGTACAAGTCATCAACTTCCATGGCATCCATGTATTGCTAATTCTGCAGGTGTGCAGAATACCACGAGGGCATGGCTTTCTCCACCTAGATTTCAAAGAATGCTGTGGACAGCCTAAGGTCTCGGGCAGTGAGTTGTTGCAGAGACAGAGTCACCACAGTGGACCCTTAGCACAATGCCAAGCAGAAATATGGGTTTGGAGGCACCACAAAGAGTTTCCAGTCAGCCTAGGAGAGCTAGAGGCCTGAGAGTCCCACCTGTGAGAGGGGCTGAGTGGACTGAACCCAGAAAATCCATAGAGGCAAGACTGCTGGAGGCCTTGGGGGCCCTTCCCCCTCCCCAGTGTGCACAAGATGCCGTCAAAGAGGATGATTTTCCAGCTATAAGACTTTTTTTTATTATACTTTAAGTTTTAGGGTGCATGTGCACAATGTGCAGGTTAGTTACATATGTATACATGTGCCATGCTGGTGTGTGCACCCATTAACTCGTCATTTAGCATTAGGTATATCTCCTAAAGCTATCCCTCCCCCCTCACCCCACCCCACAACAGTCCCCCGAGTGTGATGTTCCCTTTCCTGTGTCCATGTGTTCTCATTGTTCAGTTCCCACCTATGAGTGAGAATATGCGGTGTTTGGTTTTTTGTTCTTGCGATAGTTTACTGAGAATGATGATTTCCAATTTCATCCATGTCCCTACAAAGGACATGAACTCATCATTTTTTATGGCTGCATAGTATTCCATGGTGTATATGTGCCACATTTTCTTAATCCAGTCTATCGTTGTTGGACATTTGGATTGGTTCCAAGTCTTTGCTATTGTGAATAGTGCTGCGATAAACATATGTGTGCATGTGTCTTTATAGCAGCATGATTTATAGTCCTTTGGGTATATACCCAGTAATGGGATGGCTGGGTCAAATGGTATTTCTAGTTCTAGATCCCTGAGGAATCACCACAAGGACTTCTACAATGGTTGAACTAGTTCAAAACCCAACAAGGGAAAAAAACATTAAGTCTCAGCTATAAGACTTAATGTTTTTTTCCTCTGTTGGGTTTTGAACTAGGCACTGCTTTCTCCTTCCCTGTCTCTGAGCTTTGGAATGGGAATTTCTATCCCATACCTGCCCCATTGTTCACTGTATTTGAAAGTAGATAACTTGTTTTGACTTTATAGGCTCACAGATGGAAAAAATTTATATCAGGCTAAATTGTGCCTTGAGTCACACTCACATCTGATTTAGATGAGACTTTAGACTTCAGACTTTTGCACTGATGCTGGATAAGACTTTGGAGACAATTGGGATGGAATGAATGTAGTTTGCATTGTGATAAGGACATAAATTTTGATATTAGGAATGGAATGCTATGACTTAAATGTGTCTCCCAAAGTTTAGGATTTGGAAAAAATCTTTAATGCAACAGTGTTGAGAGGTGGGACCTTTATTATGTGATTAGGTCATGAAGGCTCTGTCCTCATGAATGGATTAATGTCACTGTCATTGGAGTGGGTTAGTTATTACAGGAGTGAATTTCTAATAAAAGATAGTCTCCTTTCTCTCGTGGACAAATGATCTCTTGCTCACCCACCTCTGCTGTGAGACGACACAGTGAGAAGGCCCTTGTGAGATGTCAGTGCCTTGATATTAGACTTCTCTGACTCAAGCACCATAAAGTATAAATTCCTTTTCTTTAGAAATTGCCCAGTCTCTGGTATTCGGTTATAGTAACACAAAGACAGACTGAGACTAAGCCATTGTAACATGTGTGAGGTGATATCTCATCGTGGTTTTAATTTGCATTTCCCTGATGATTAGTGATGTTGAGCATTTGACTCTTTATGTTAAGTGAAATAAGCCAGGTATAAAAAATTACTCCATAATCTCACTTACACATGCAATCTAAAAATGTTGAACTCAGAGAAGTAGAGAGAAGAATGGTGCCAACCAGGGGCTGGTGTCAGGGGCATGTGAAAGCTGAGGCATTGGTGAAAGGGTACAGAGTTTTGGTTTGACAGAAGGAATTAGTTTGAAGATCTATTGCACAGCAGGGTGACTTCCATGGTACTAATGTACTATATACTTGAAAACTGATAATAGAGTAGATTTTACACGTTTACACCATAAAAAATAAGTATGTGAGGTGATGGGCATGTTTATTTACTTGATTTAATAATTTCACAATGCCTGCATATGTCAAAACATCACGTCATACCACCATAATATATGAAATAGAATATGTTTTTCTAGTAAGTGTGATGCCTCTGTTTCTCTTTTTTTTTTGGAACAAAACAATAAACACCTTTATTACATGGGTGAAGACAAAACAAGGATTTATTTGCCCTTCCGGGCCTTGATTTTCCTAAGATAGAACTCCAACTCTTTGCCCTCTAGCACATACCCATCTGCTCAGCCACACTGTCCTGGCCTTGAAGCAATGCATGCAAGAAGCTTGCCCTGCTGGAACTGCTCCCCCAGGAGACTGCTGATTTTGGCATTCTTTTTCCTTTCATGATATTTCTTCTGAATTTTTTTAGATCGCTTTTTGTTCAAAATCTCTTCTTCCTCAGGAGTCAGCTTGGCTCCCTTCTTGCAGCCCAGGGGCGGCGCATAGTGGGACTCGTACCACTGTCGGTACAGTGTGCTGTCAATGAGCACAATGCAATTCTTCACCAGGGTCTTGGGACGAACCAGCTCGTTATTAGATGCATTGTAGACAACATCGATGATCGTTGTTTTATGAGCACAACATTCTGAGCCCCAGGAGAAATTCCTCACGTCCAGCCTCAGGGCACAGTATTTCTTGTTACCTCCCCACACACGGACTGTGTGGATGCGGCGGGGGCCAGTCTTGGTGTTGGCAGCTGGGTGCCCCAACTCATACTTCCGCTTCTTGTGGTAGGGCTTTCTCTTGTCCCTGGTTTTGTGGCACTTGTGCCAGTTGTCCCAAGAGATGTCCATCGCTCGGCACTGGCTGGAAAGAGGGCCTCTGTTTCTTTAACAACAGTTTCTGGAGATTGTTTTTCCCTTGAACAATGTTTCCTCTCTGCTGTCTTTACACAGTTTTCCTTTCCCAAGGGTTGATTTAAGACAGTGACAATTTATCTATTCTGTATCTGGTAGTTTCATGGAGAAATTTAATGAATAGCCACTTGAAACCATGTGGTGCTACTGAGACACCATCTGAAGGAGACAGATTTTCTGAGTGTAGGCCACAACCATATGTTAACACATTTTAAATTCAAAATCAGGGTTTAAATTTTGATATTTTACAATGGCTTCTTTGATTCCTTCCCAAGATCTAACCATTGAGCGTGTGAAAAGGGCTGGGACTCAGTTTACTGCTGTGCTTGGCATGATGATGTCCTGCAGAAATTCCTTTGGCTTTCTACATGTAGCTCAGCCTCCATATCAGCCAGCTCGCTTGGAGGTCAGAGTACTTCTCAAAGATCCTCAGTGTGTTGTTTCATTTTGAGAGGTTTCCAGCCCTTGTGAGACACCCCTTGGTTTTACAATCATCGCAAAGTTGTTTACGATTCCAAAAACATACCTGCCATCTGTCCATATGTTTGTTCTGCAGCTTTTGATTTCCTAAAATGCTGTAGTAACTGCAATAAGTTCTACCATCTGGATTAATTTTCACCTCAGATGGAAGAGTATATTTTAAGATAAAGATAAAGTAGTAACAGTATATTCTCCTCGGTAATATCCATTTCTATATTTTGAGCTATGGTCCATCAATAAATAATGTTCTGTCAGGCTCCTCAATGGAGTGCCTGAACATCTAAGGAAGGTACAGAAGGTACAAAACAGAAGTTAAGGTACAAACCATGGTGAACACAAGCTTGCTATGCTCCCATGTCTCCTGTCTGTCTTACTGTGCACCTGACACTCATTTTAACCTCACCAGGAAGTCAGTTAACTCTCAATCAGTTTATTGTAATGCCTCTAGGTAATTATATGTGGCAGTTTCAGCAGAAATGAAGAAACAACTTCACTAGAGAATCTAATACAGAAGAATGCAAGTGGCCCTGGGCTTGTTTTCATAAAAGCAGCATGCACCAGGCAGTTGATTCTCTTGGCTGTCGGCACTGAACACTCAGCATGCTGGCTTCGTCCCCTAAATAAGCTTCATCATGCATGGATAGGCTGGCAGCAATCCCGAGGCCATATGCAGATACACAGCCAACTGGGAAATGGGACACAATTCTTCTCCACTCCTCCTCTGAAGAATGGTCTGACAATGCCCTCTTCAGTTCCTTCCCTCTGCCACCCTGACCAGGACTATGCCATATGTGCACAGAGACACAAAATTCCTGATGGGAAGAATGAGGCTGGATCAACCAGACTAGCGGTTTCTCACTGAGGTAATGTGAGGTCAACTTCTAGGGTGGACAATTCAGGAAATTATCCAGCAGTTTTGTAATTGATGGCTATGGGAAAATGAACCACTGAGATGAGTAATTACTTATATTCCATTATTCCATGTGAGAAACAGACATCACAGTTCACCATAACTAAATTTTCATAACCTAAATTGATTACTTTAAATTTCTTCCTACATCTTCACTTAAGAATTTTTAACCATGAATGTGTCTTACCTATATTCCCAATATTTAAAATTGGGCTGTCAAGAGAGTCTAGAGAATTCGAGAACTAAGAACAGTGAAACTCCTGTATGTTCAGCAGCTCCCAAAGCAACACAATATTCCCCAGGAACACTGTTCTGTGCTTCAGCACAAATCATGCTTGTGTATTTCCTAATGGCTCCAATAGTGACCCTCCATTCCCATCAAACATTTGGCCTCCCCTTTCTCCACTCCCCTCCATTCATACATTATACTCTCAGCTCTGTCTAGGGTATCATAAAAGCCAGCAGACGGACCCTCCTGATCTCCTGAACGTGAAACCTAACACTATCATGCGATCGGCTCCTCTTGGCATAGTGACCTTCAAAGGCATCTCATTTGAATAATTACCTTTTTTTCCCTTCTGTAACAAAGTGTTTCTTTCCATTGTGCCTTCCCATAAGCATTTTAACATAATTTACTGTCCGACTACAGTTATTAATACACACAAATGCCACAACCTCTTTCTAGCCCAGGAGACCTGATTAATTCTTCTCTGGGGATGAGCACACCCTAGAAACACATCCCATTCACATAAACACGGGCACAACGATGACATGTTCTTGAGTCTACACCATTCTCCGTCCAACTCCACGAGCCCCTGAAGACCAAGACAGGCTCTTTCATGCCTGTGCAAGCTCTGGCCCAGGGACAGCCTGCTGAGGAATGGGCTCAGCTGGGTCTGGGTGCTGGGTTCATCTCTTCCCCTCTCCTGTCCCAAAGCAGGTCCATCACCCTGCTCAGGTCTGAACAGGAGTGTCCAGGTTTGTCTGGCCATCCGACTTTTTCAATGTATAGAAGCTCTCCTATTACCTACTGTATTCATTTTATAGGGCTTTTATGACAAAATACCACAGATCGGATGGCTTACAATACAAAACCAATTTCCTCACACTTATGGAGGATGAAAGCCTAAGATCAAGCTGCCAGCTGGGTGGGTTTCCTCTGAGGTCTCGCTCCCTGGCGTGCAGATGGCGCCTTCTCGCTGTTCTGTGGTAACATGGCCGTCCCTCGGGGCGTGTGCACCCCCCCTCCTGCTTCCCCTTCTTATAACAACAGTCAGATTGCATTAGGGCCCCACTCCAGGAATCTCACTTTAACTTATTTAGCTCTTTAAAAGACACTAATCCAAGTATGATTTCATTCTGAAGGACCAAGGGTTGGGACTTCAGCACATGAATTTAGGAGGGACACAGTCTCCCCTAGCAGCCTCCTCCAGGGATGTCAAATAAAAGGAATAAAAGGACACTGATGCTCCAGAGGGCCTTGAAAGCTTGCAGCTGCTTTGTTGTGGTGGGACATGGGTAAGCCCGCACCTTATCTATGATGGCAGATGGAATGACTTTAGTTTTACCAAACCAGATGACACCAACTATTTGACTGATAAGCCTGGACCCTGGATTTTGTCTGTATTAACCTCCCATCCTCTGTTCAGCAAGTGAGACAGCAAGACAGGGGCTGCAATTTATAAGCTGAAAAAAGACTCAGAAGTTACCATGATAACACCAATGTAGTGGAAAACATGTATCCCCTTTGGGTCAGCCCATCAACTGAGGTTGGAGGTCACTAGGCTGTGAGAGTTGGGCTGTGTAAATATCCCTGGAACAAGACAGTAAAAGTCCATTGTTCTTTTTAGGTTAATGCAAATTGATCTTGAATGTGGGGCAGCAGAAATGCTGAAGAAGGTATTGACTAAACTGATAACGAAATGCTATGTGGCTAACACCTCTCCTATTCTCGTCAGACTGGAGGAGATATTAGGAACAGCTGCATTCACTCGGGAGACCACCTTATTTAACTCCCAGTAATCTACTGTCATTCTCCATGTCCCAACTGGCCTCTGCATGGGCCATGCAGGTCTGTTGTAGGAACTGTGCAGTGGCCTCCTAATGCCTACCTGGGCTAACTCCTTAACAATCTTCATGATTGGATCATCTTCCCCTCCCCAGGGCGGGTGGTGTTGCTCCAGCTGTGGGACTCCCCATGGGTTGGCAGCTCTACCGGCATCCAGTTTGCCTTCTGCTTGGTCACATGCGTCACCACTTTAACTCTCAGTTGGAATTC